>NC_000013.11:82076281-82229122 GCF_000001405.40 Homo sapiens | reverse complement strand
GATGAACCCGGTACCTAAGATGGAAATGCAGAAATCACCCGTCTTCTGCGTCGCTCATACTGGGAGCTGTAGACCGGAGCTGTTCCTATTCGGCCGTCTTGGCTTTCCTGGGGCATATTCAGAGTTTTTTAAAACTAGGATTGCTGATGAAGTTATTACAAGAAAATTAGAAGAAAAATGTTGCATATATTAAATGAGTAATACTATCTAAGGGAGGATATTTAATGAATATATGATGATAATTAAAACAGAATCAAGGCATGGTAAGAGGACAGGGGTTTTAATGTAATACATTTGGTCTTTGCATACACACACCAACATGTGGTTATATAATTTCACATTTTGCTTTTTGCAAAATTAATTTTAGAGCATGAAGAGAAATTTTGAGCTAAGATTCTACAGAGAAATGAAAGAAAAATGAAATGAGTAAATGTAGAAATTTTTGATGGCATTATGGGGTTTTTATTACCACTTACCACAAAAGCGAGCATGGAGTACTTACTGATGACTGTATAATGAACCTCTTTAAAACTTAGTAACTGAAAACAGCAATTATTTTAATTACTCATGTTTTTCTGGGTCAACACGTGGGCCTATGCTCGGATATGGAGTTAACTCTTCTAGCCTGACTTGACATATCTATGTGGCTGTGGTCATTTAATGGTCAATAAAGCTGGGTGTGCTGGTGTGTGACTATAGTCCTAACTACTTTGGAGGAGACTGAGGTGGGAAGATTGCTTAAGCCCAGAAGTTTGAGGGTGCAGACAACTGGGATCATGCCACTGCACTCCAGCCTTGGCAAGAAGTGAGACCCCATCTCTTAAAAAAAGAGGGTGGATGGCCTAAGACAGGGTCACCCACAAGTCCTATGGTTGGTGCTGGCTGGCAGCTGGGCCTTGTGCCTCTAGCAGGCTGGTCTTGGCTTCATAACACAGTGGCAGAAAAGTTTCTAGCCTCAAAATAGGGTAAGCCCTATCGCACAAATGCTTTTTAAAATGTTTTTCTCTGCAGCATATCTTCCCATCAGCCAAAGCAAGCCAAATTGTGGAATCCAAAATTAAGAAAAGAGGGACCTCCACAAACACTTGAAATCAGAAAGGCATGATTTTTGGGACATATTATGTAATAATCTACCACAGAGCTTGAAGGAGTTATGGAGACATTATTAAGACCTACATTCCTATTAATGCTCTTTAATGTAGTTTGCAGTGAAATAAATTATGAGACTAAAAAGTAGAAAAATTGAATCATGATACTATCCATTGCTATCCCAATGAGTTCTATAATTACAAATTTGAGATACTTCAAAATATATAGTGCAAAGAAACATTTTCTTTTTGATGGTACCTATTGAACATCCTTTAAAGAAATGTTGAAAACCAGCATCAGGGACATTGGTGCAACTCTAGATAAATTAGAAATATTATGGGGGAAAAAGTTGAAGTGGGAAGATGACAAACTGTACATTGTTCCATACTGTCAAATTTACCATTTTGAATAATAATGATTTTTCTTTTGGTTTTTTAATTTAAAACATTCTTATTTCCTAATTTAAAACCTACATATGACAGTAATGGAATTAGGACTTTATTAAGATTGAAATAAAGTTTTATTACTATGCTGATTTAATTTAGTAAAACACAGATACACTCCATCTCAAATTTAACTTTGGGATTTGTTCAATTCTAATTGAATGACATACAACATTTTAATATGAAAAAATATGGAGCCCAAATTGTAAAAAGGAAGCATGTATTCTTTCTTGTTTTCCTTTCCTTTGTCTTTTATTAACACTGTAAAATTAATCTGCTGAGACAAAACATACTTGGAGATAGAACCAGAAATTCTAAGAAATGAGTGTTGTAGGCATTACATTTTTATAATTGTATACACCTTAAATTACCAATTTGAAATGACTGCTACTAATAATGATATATTAGTTTATGTGGATCTAACCCAGAGTTAATAGAGTCATCTATCTTTTATTTAGGGTAAACATAGTATTTTAAAAATTGAAATAAATAAGGCAGTCATTGTTAAGGTCATAACTGGGGTCACATGACATGAAAGTCTCAGAAAAAAGATTATATTAAGATATATTTTAAACAGTGTGGCTTTTCTTCAATTTTTATTTATTATTTGTCTACAAATCTATTTTATAAGCCTTTAGTATTTTAAAATACTTTTTTTTACAGATATTTTACTAGTTAAATAGACCTTCTTGAAAGAGAAACATATTTCTTAGTGATGCTATTTCATTGAATTGTATATTTTTACATAAGACCTCAGTAAAATAGTACTGTGCCTGTGGTAAGAAATTCTGACACATAGAACAACAAACTCCAAAATTGATGGGAAATAATCTTATTGGCCAATTACTAAAACTGTGAAGTCACTAAAACAAAGGGTTCCCGGCACCTTTGTTTATGCTTTCTTCCATTCGAGGGTCTTCATCAGTCATCCCTCTGATCTTACTCTCAGAATCGATTCCTCCTACAACATGTACTTTTCATTACTGATCTCTGAAAGCAAATAAATGAAGATTTAATGTACCAGCAACAGTGAGTAAACAGATGACCAGAAGAAAACACACAGAAACTTTTTTTTTCCAGCAGCAAAAGGCTGTGTGGTCCATGCATAGTATCAAAGAGGACAGTACCATGCCCAGGTTCTAGACCTTGCCAGCAAGAGTTGTCCATCTATCTCACACAGCAGGTGGAAACCTTTGCTGTTGGGAGAGTTGAGAATATGGCAGAAGTCTGCATAAATAGACAGACATTTTTATATATGATAGACTTTAATAAACCTGAGTAATGGGTAAGTTTTGCAGTCCTAAGGAAGTGGGTTGACAACAAATAGTCAAATTTGCAGATGCCAGCTAACATGTTGGTCTCATGATTGTGTGTGTGTGTGTGTTTTATGTGGGGGGGATGGGGATGACGTGGGGAATACTTGGAGCTCAAAATTTTAAAAATAGGCAAGTCATGATAGGAATTATTACAAATTTATGCTTACACAGCCACCTCTGTTTATTATGGGGTACTGTTATTATCAGTGATTGGTACTGAAAGATTCAGAAAGGAAGAGAGCATCAGATAAATAATTAATTCACTTTTATTTTTAATTTTTATCATTACATAATATTTTTACATATTTATGGGGTATGTGTGATGTCTTTGATATGAGCATACAATGTGCAGTGATCAAATCCGGGTAATCAAATTTCCATCACTTCAAACATTTATCATTTATTTGTATTGGAAACACTTCAAATCCTCTCTTCCAGCTCTTTTGAAATATACAATAAATTGTTTTTAATTATAGTTGTCCTCTTGTGCTACCAAACACTACATCTTATTCTTACTAACTGTATATTTGTTCCCATTAACAAACCCTTTCAAACCCTCCTCCCTACTATTCTCAGCCTCTATAACCATTCTATTTATTAGCTCCATGAGATCATAAATAAATGAGAATATGTGATATTTGTCTTTCTCTGCCTTTATTTCACTTAACATAACGTCCTCCAGTTCTATCCATGTTGCTGAAAATGGCAGCATTTTACTTTCTTTTATGGATAAATAATACTCCATGTGTATATGTTTCATATTTTCTTTATCCATTCATCTGTTGATAAGCACTTAGTTTCATTGCATGTTTTCTATTTTGAATAGTGCTGCAGTAAACATGGAGATATAGATATCTCTTCGGTACACTGGTTTCCCTTCTTTTGGATGTACACTCAGCAATAGGGTTGCTGTATCACGTGGTAGTTCCATTTTTGGTTTTGTGAGGAATCACCATACTATTTTTTATAGTGGCTGTTGGTCCTCTAACCTGCTGGAGAAGCATAAAGCCACTAGTGTATTTACTGCCCATTCAGTAGTGGGCTAGGAATTTAATTTAGCCTGTTCTTACAGGCCGAGGTCATCACTGGATTCAAATTTCAGGTGGAAAGACTGAGGGAAAAAGTGTGGAATTCATGTGCACACACACATGCACATACACATAATTGATTTTCTAGTCTTCGATGGCTTAAAATACCATCATTTGTGTAAGTGAATGAAGGACACTTTCTTGGTTTCCTCTGACTCAGAAAACAAGTTTACATTCCTAAGAAAGCAGGATGGTGAGAAATAGTCAAATTTGCTGATCCCAACTAAAATGTTGGGCTCCTGACTGTGTGTGTGTGTGTTTTAGGCGGGGGTTGGGGCAACTCTGTCTATCTGATGAAGACTACCAGATTGATGCATTTTAAAGAGTGTGGCTTTCCTTAAATTTTTATTTTTTATTTGTCTAAAAATCTATTCCTCTGCCTTTAATATTTTTAAGAGTCTTTTTAACTTATATTTTATGAGTCAAATAGACATTCTTGAAATAGAAACATATTACATAGTGATGTTATTTCATTAACTTGTATATTTTCAGATGGACCTAAATAAAATAATCCTGAGCCTATGGTGAGAAATTCTAACACATTGAACAACAAAGTCTAGAACTGATGGAAAATAATCTCACTGGGCAGTCATTAAAAGTTTTTCAAACTTCAAAAATCATTTTGGTGTCTCAAGTTTATTTGAGGAAAACAAAGCTACAACAGAAAACTGTGGTGCACAGAATTAAAGACACCATCTCATCTGGGCATCTGACTTCTGCATTTATCACAGGACTGATATCATTAAATAAGAGTCATAAATCTTGAGAGGAACTCTATTTAGTGAATTTTGGGTGATGTCGAGAAGAGCCCTGGATCGCTCTTCTTCTTCTTATCCTCCTTGGGAGTAGTCTTGGTTGCTGAAATGCAGAGAAGAGATGCCTTAAAAAGAATTATGTGCGTGTTCACCCTTAGGCACCAGTGTTGAAAGCAGACATTTAGGATTGTCTTCGTAGGCAGTTATTTAAAAAATAGCAATTTGGATAGAGTGTTTCCACTGTTTATTGCTAAGAAACCCGGGGATAGTAGTAGGTCACAGGAAAATATACAAAATTAAAGGCAAGAAAGATCCAAAAACATCATTGGCAATAAAAGAGCCAGGAACATGATTTTGCATATGAAATGTTATCGCAGAAAAATACTGTAAGAGATTTTAGCCTTCACTAGTCAAAATAGGACATTGGTTTTCATTATAATTTTTAAGGAGAATATATTTAATCATGCCAATTAAAATCTCTCATCCCTGCCCTCTGCCTCTTAATGTCTTACCTTCTGTCTATGGATGCCTGAGATGTAAATATGATTCCACATTTGAGAAGAAATGCTTAGTATGACTCTAAGAACCAAAACACTTCAACATAGTAACAAATAAACAATTTTTAATTCCTGCCAGTGGCTGATATCTGATTACAGATTTGTTTTGTTTGAAACATGGTCCTCAGTAATCAAGGAAGCATCCAGCACTTAAATAGAAGACAGAATTTTCCTTTAAAGAGAAAGTTGGAGCACAGAAGAGTCCTGGACAAATTGAAATCTTTGTCTAAATCCATACTTGTTTTCCAATACCGATGCTCAACCAAATAAAACTTGTCAGAACACTTGGTTTTTATCGTCTACTAGGTCTCACACAGATATCACAGGAGTGTTGATAAGGATGATCTCTTTTTATTTTATGACATTAAATAATTACATTTCTATTTGGCTTATTTAAATTCTACAGTATAAAATTAGAAATGATACATTATCCAAAGTTAAAATAATTACACTTGATTTACATTAGATTATGATGTTATAATTTTGTCAGTTACAAATGAAACTATATTTAAACAATATAGGCTGATTTTTTTTTTTTTTTTTTGTGAGTAAGAGTCTCACTCTGTTGCCCAGGCTGGAGTGCAGTGGCATGATCTCGGCTCACAGCAAGCTCTGCCTCCTGGGTTCGTGCCATTCTCCTGCCTCAGCCTCCAGAGTAGCTGGGACTACAGGCGCCCGCCACCACACCCGGCTAATTTTTTGTGTTTTTAGTAGACACGGCGTTTCACGGTGTTAGCCAGGATGGTCTCGATTTCCTGACCTTGTGATCCGCCCGCCTCGGCCTCCCAAAGTGCTGGGATTACAGGCGTGAGCCACCATGCCCGGCCAATGTAGGCTGATTTTTAAAGTGTGAAATTGACTTTATTGAATGTAAAAAATATTCAATACAAGACATTGTAATAAGAATCATGTGTGTTACTGATTAGAATTCAAGATGGCATGTTTGCTCATCTGGTAATAACGGGAAATAAAAAGCTCTATTATATAACAACTATTTTTCGTGATTGTTATGATCAGTAAGTATGTGGAAATACTGCTCAACAAGTTTAGGAAGGGACTTGAATAAAAGTAAGCAAGAGAACATCCATGCAACGTAAGTGGGGTGGTACAGTTCATGTTTTTGTACTTTGAAGGCTTATACTGGAAAGTGGAATATCTGGGCCTGATAAATGGCTTGAATATGTCATGGAAACAAATTCTGGTGAGAAAGAATTAATCTTCTACAGATTGACATAACCTTAGATGCTGGTGTTAATTCCCTTATTTATATGCAAATTAAAGGTTTCACTTGTTTTTTTCATTTATTTGTTCTTAATTAGAAAAAATATATTAGATATTTCTTAGATATCAAATTGATATTTCTTCTGTTATATGTCGATATCTGAATAAGAGAAGAGAAACATATTCTATGTATTTATTGATTTTAATACTGATCTATATGTATCTCTAATGTAGAAATTTTCTCAGAACAAAAGTTTTACTGTTTAATAAATTATCTCAAATTCTTCCTGGACACCTCAAAATCCTGGCACTGTATTAGTCAAACTCAGTCTTCCATTACATATTCTTTGTATCATCAAATGGATTTTCTTCCTCTACTGTATTTCTCACTTTAATGCCCTTGACATATGGTGAAATTGTGAGATGTTTTTAGATTTTTTTTCATAGATGTCTGTTCGTCTGCCTTTTTAGGCATTTTCTGAATAAAAAGCATGTCCTTGGCACACATGCTCATGCTGAATTTAGAAAACCACTAAAGCTCTAATAGGAAATACAATGGAAACAGTATAAATATTCTTGATAGAAAATAAATGGATTACAGATACCATGAATCTAATATAAAGCAGAATTCAAAACCTTGCTAATGAGAAGGTATAGGTTTCTGTGAGCATAATTTATTTAAAAAGTCGTAAATCCTGGTAAGGTTTGGATTCAATATAAACTAATTATTGGAATGCAAAAGAAAAATCAGAGAACATCTCCATGGGAACCCTGAATCCATATTGTTGCATTTGAAAGACTTAGCTTTGATCCATAACTGTATACATATTTGGAACAAGATTATCTCACCCGCATCCTCTCCAGTATGTTCAGAAAAGTCAATTCTGAAATAATTCCCATGAATTCTATCCGTGAGTGTTGACTTTTTTTTTTTTTAAATTCATTGAAGATGCTGCTAATGTAAAGGAATGTTCTTATTCCAGGTGCATCTTCATATTCATGGCACATATTTTCCTCTGGCTCACTTCGTATATAAAAATACATCGATGTGTCCATGTACTTGAAGATTATGCATACAAATGTATTCTGTTACTTTTTCTGTGAACTTTATCCAAATTAATATTTCCCAGATATGATATGCTCACCAATTCTACTCCAGACTGACACACTTCCATACTGCTTTTATATCCTGTTAAGTTTTCCCAGGTGTTTTGTTTTTGTTTTTGTTTTTGTTTTTCATGAAACCATTAGAAAGCCAGGGAAATCTACCTAGCTTTTTAAAAATATTTTTTTCAGCACTCAGTACCCAAACAACTTAAAATTATTTAATCAAAAATAAAACACAGGAAAATAAAACCACACAATTCAAATATATTATAAGGCAACTATCACTAGGTCAAGGAAAATAGCTTTGTGAGCCACTTATGAGGTCCTTTCCTAAGAGCCATGTGAATCACAGATTTCTCCATTTTCCAGCAAGTAACAATTATCTGGACTTTTTAGCGCTCATTTCCTAGTATTCTTCTTGTCACATAAATTTGCTGCTTTAGACATTAGAGTTTAGTCATGCTCATTAAAAATGTTAATATAACTTTACATCACTTTCAATCTATAGGCTTTTCTTTTATCCTTCCCATATTCTTAAAATGTATTTTTGGAAAAGCATGGCAATTTTGTTCAACCTGTAAAGTTTGCCAAATTCTGGGTTTTGCTGATTGTATATTATTTGTATAATTCTACATATATTTCTACACTCTGGATTTCTTGCAACTTGGCAGCTGTATACAAAGATTAGATCAGACTCTGATTTGATCCTTTTGGCAAGACTATGGATGGTGTTGGCAAGCGTATGTAGGAAACATAATAGTTGGTTTCCTCTCGTTTTGATTTTAGCAGTCATTGATGCTTAATGCCTATAAGCTGTCCATTTCTGGTGATACTCTAATTCCATCATTATTTTTCATTTATTGTTTGGATTGCCTTTATAAAAGGACATATCCTCATCTACTATTTGCTAATTCAGTGGTGTAGTACAAGTAGAAAAACAAGCATAAATGCTTGATTATTTTGCTTATTTACCATATAATGAATGATTTCTTGTTATCCTCTAAAAAATGACAATTTATTTTCTGTTTTATCATAACAAAATAATAAATACAACCATTATTGATTGGTTTCATTGAAATAAATAATTTGTTTTTTGAAGCTGAAATCGTTCTATCTTAAGCCAGTAGGAGCCTCTAGGTTGAATCCTGAGCCCATGACTCTTGTAGTCTGGCAGTTTTATGCTGTCTGGTATTACAAGATATTCCAAGTCAATCTCACATATTTCTTATCTCCAATATACAGTCATTTTTTTCTGAGAAGTTGTAGTTTCTGAAAGTGATAAATGGCATTATTTTAAGAATATAACTTTAGGGTTAGAGATCATTATTGCTACTGAATTGATCATTGCTTTTAAATCTTTTCAGAGGAAAAAGCTATGAAATATTTTATATATATAATGTATATATTGTATAGAAATATATATCTAATATGTAGTACAGATATATTTATATTATGCTAATAGAAAATATATAAAATATCATATTAATGCCTCCACCAATATAATTATTATAAATATTAAAATTTTGGCATATGATCCCCTAATTTCTTCTACCATTTTTGAATAGCGACATTATACTTGTATTGGCAACACATATAGCTATTATATTATATACTGTCTACCTGTTAGTACACTGTGTTGTTTTTACAGAAAGCTAAATTTTGTTGTCATCCATAGTCCTTATGTAGATATCTTTCCCATCATTTTGGTTGTCTGGAGCTCATTCCTTGCAATTTCTGTAGAAATGGAAAATGAGGACGTATTTGCTGAGCTTGTTTATGCTGATATCATTTTGTTTATACCTATTATATATTGATATTCAGTTTTGCTGTCTACAAATTACTCGACTCGCACTTTTTTCCTTGAGCATCTTAAATGTGTTACTCCACTTTTGTGATAAAGTAAGGCTGTAAAAAGATCTGATGAACTAATTTATCCTCCTTATAAACAATACATTTTTTCTTTAGCTGTTCAAGTAATTATATTTTCTTTCTCTGACACATAGTATGGACTTTCAAAATGCAATTATAACTTTAGCAAACTGTTCTTAAATTATAGATGTTAGGGTTTTTACACCCTTTAGTCAGTTTACTTTCTTCGGTTTTCTTATTCAGGGACTCCTATTATTCACATGTATTATTTTTGTCTCTGATTAATGTTTGCCACTTTGTACTCAATTCTCATTTTATCTATTTCTTCATTTATTTTAGTGTTTATTTTTAATTATTCTTTTTATCTCTTATATTTAATGTATTAACTTTAAGGCATTATTATATTTTCTCATACTACTTATAATCTAGTTTATATTTTAAAATATTATATTTTGTTGCTTCTATTTATATTTTCATTTATAACCTCATTTCAATGCTTCTCTAATTCTTATTAATATTATTTTATTTTTGCCTTTCTGAATAATTTTATTATAATAATATTATTTTAACTTTTTTCTTCTTTTTGTTATAAAGCATTTATATGGAAATAGACTTTGCTATTTTCCTTTTTTTATTTGATAATAACCATGAATGGTATTTGACTTGTTCTTTTCTTTTTCTTTCTCACTGTCAAGTCTAAAATAACAGACTTACATGGGCATTTGTGAATGGTAATATGAAACATTTTGAAAACTGTAGAATATATATCTATAAAATATGCCCACCATGTAAGTATAGATAGACCTTGTTTCTTTTTTCACTGCTTTATATCTAGTGTTTAACATATAATTTATTTATAAATGGACTGACATTCACAGAAAAGGTTGTAAAGCAAGGGGAATACTTTTTTCTTATTCTTTGTTATTGATCATACTAAAATGCCTATTAGTATATAAATGATAATTCACAAAATATATGAATAATTGAATAATAGCAATATAGTATTATTTCTAATAATGATGTGTAATTTTCAGATAAACCACATAAGCTTTATACCTCTCTATTTTTCAGAAATAAATTAGATTATATTACCTGGATATTTCAAATAGATGTTGTGGCTTAACTGTGTTGGTAAAGCATTTGTAAGAACAACATTATAACATTAGAAGAGTTATGTAAAATGAAAGTCTGGTCACATTTGACTACATTTTGGGGGAAAATGTTTACTAAAAAGTTTAAACTGTCTTAAACACATGGATCATGCAATGCTTAATAAGTTTTGCTTTCAGAATCCGTTTCCTTTGTAGTTAACATTACATCATAATAATATCCACCTCATTAATAGTCTATCCTTTATCTTTTCTATGCATTTAGAAATATGTCAAGTTTTCCACAGTTACATATAATTAGAGATAGAAACTTTAAATATAACAACTTAAACATGGGCCAAGTGACAGCTTGTTACAGAAACAAAATGTATCTGAAAATGCAAAGGAAAAAGCCAAAGGACGGGAAAAAAAAGCTAACATAGAACTCATTAGGAAATATTCCAGAAATGTGGATGTTGAACAAAATGAAATCTAAGATGCAATTAATGAAAAGTAAATGTTTTTTCTCTATATATATCTCTCTGTCTCTCTCTCTCTAATTAAACAGCTTTATTGCAGTTTAATTGGCACACAATTGGCACATAGTTACAGTATAAAATTGGAAAAATATGAATGAATAAGATCTAGTGTTGGCTAGCACAACAGGGTGACAATAGTCAAAATAATTTAATTGTACATTTAAAAATAACTATGTAATTGCATTGTTTGTAACACAAAGGATAAATGCTTGAGGTGATGGATAAAAAAATTTGAAAAGTCTTAACCTTGACATGTCTGAATCATTAATACAATCCAGATAATAAACCTATGCCTCTCTCTCAGAAGTTTACTACTCCTTTGTAATCTCCCTTCCCTCTCCTCCCTTTAGCTTGGGCTTTCACCTAGTGACTTGCTTCTAGTGAATAGAATACAGCAAAAGTAATGATCATCTAACTTTTAACATCTATGCTCAATAGTTGTAGTCTCCAAATGTGAGTTGAGCTGTATTTACCTATTTAGGGTATTTATTATATACTATAGGTAATGTTTCTCTGATCTCCCCTTTCATTTTTTCATTGACTAAAATTCTTCTTTGGTTATAAAATACTTTTTTGAGGTTAGAAATTTTCTGGAATTACAAAATATAATAAAATTGATTATTTTATTGATATTTGATTTAAAAACTATGCTTGCAGAAAAATATTTGAGGCCAATGCATAAGCTCATATTCTACACATGATTCTAGAAAAGATAATATGTGAATATAGATAATGAAGAATTTATAATAATGAGCTTGAAATGAAAATTATTTCAGCCTCATTTTCAATATTGGTATCTTTTTTAACGACATTGGGTTAAGTAAAATAACCTATGTATACATATATAGAGAAATTTTATTACCTCAGTTAATCTTCAGCAAAGAATAAATATTTTACTTATAAATTTCTTTATAGATTAAATATTGTTTTAAGAATTTAGCCATTATAATAAGAAAATAATGTGAATGTAAATGACCGATTTGTGTTACATTTCCCTTATGGCTTTAAAAATTTCTCTGTCTCTATAGAAGGCAGGAAGTAGTTTATTTTATGAGACACATAAATACTAATGTAAAAAATTTGGTTTGGTGATGTCAGCAAGATGGCACAAAAGGATATTTCAGGCTCCACTCCTCTTCAAAGAAAGTTCAGGCCAGGTGCAGTGGCTCATGCCTATAATTCCAGCACTTTGGGAAGCCAAGGTGAGTGGATCATATGAAGTCGGGTGTTCAAGACCAGCCTGGCCAACATGGTGAAACCCATCTCTACTAAAAATACAAACGTTAGCTGGCTGTGGTGGCACACATGTGTAATTCCAGCTACTCAGGAAGCTGAGGCAGAAGAATTGCTTGAAACCTGGAGACGGAGGTTGCAGTGAGCTGAGATCACATCAATGCCCCCCAGCCTGGTGACAGGGTGAGACTAAGAAAGAAAGAGAGAGGGAGAGAGAGAGAGGAAGGAAGGAAGGAAGGAAAGAAAGAAACAAAGAAAGAAAGAAAGAAAAGAAAGTTCAACTAGCAACTATCTACAGACCAGAACATCTTTTTGAAAATTTCAATACTTGGAAACAAACCTGAGACACCCATATGACCCACAGAATTGAATGAAAATTGAAATTAGAAGGACAAAAAGACTGGTCTTACTCCCATTGCACTGCCCATTCCCTTCCCCCAAGTTGGCATAATGCCAGATAGAATTTTCCAGAATTCACAGTTTCTACAGGGGAAAAAAAGCAAACTGGAAACAGTAATTCAACTTCCCTACTATTCTGAGATGCTTTCCATGGTTCCCAATCTGTTCTCATCTCACTAGGGGCACTGGTGTTAATGGCATGGCTAGACCGTTTGGGATTAGGTAGAAACAAAGAAGTGAGGCAGAGGTAATAGTGACCATGCGCAGATCTTAATGGTGCCTATGCATTTCTGCCAATTGTGGCAGTTTTTCGGAGATATTAGGCAACATCATAGCTCACCCTCAAAGTACAGCTAGTTACCTCCAGAAGCATGGTGGGAGGTGCAACATTGCTTGAGTCACTAGATGGATGGTCCCCATGCCCAACCTCAAAGCACATCCCAAATGACTTTGCCCAAGCAGAGATGCCTGCCTCCAACCATTTTGAAGAAGTGTAGGGGCTAGAAATACTTGATTCAGGAAGTTAAGCAGTAACTCCAGTCAGCCAAAAAGCCTGTTCTACAACCCCACCTAAGCAGGGAGACTCCCACCTATGTGCATTTTAGAAAAACATAGGGTATAGATCTACTTGACCCAGGAGGTCAAAAAGCTACTTGATTCAACCAAGAGCCCACCCCATGGCTTCACATTGACAGGAAGGCAATTCTCTATTTTGCATTTTTAAAGAGCACAGACTCTAGTCCTGCCTATTCTGAGCAGCAACTCCACCTAAACTTGAAGTTCAGTCTACAGTTCTGTACAACCGTAGATCCCAGATAGTGGAATTTCCTGGCTGGGTAATACATTCTGTAACTGGTCTAACAAGCAACTTTTCACTACCCAGCCATTAGCTTCATCTGATAGTAAAACCTAACCAGTGGACTCAGTGGAATGGAGACCAGCCAGCAGCTCTACCTGACATCAGAACAAATCGGTGACTTAGCCAACTAGAGAACCCACAAGGTTTGATGTTTCAAGATTGTCACTATCTGACCCCTCCAGAATCACAGGTTGGTCCAAATCATGGTGTATCCCTGCCAAACAAAAAACAAACAAACAAACAAACAACACCTGTAATGGCTAGAAGATAAGGCTGTCTCCTCAAACGTACAGACAAATATGCAAGGATTATGAAGAATCAAGGAATCATAACACCTTCAAAAGGAACAAATAAATCTCCAATAATGGACCTTATGAAATGGAGATCTATGAAATGACTGAAAAATCACAATAATTTCCTTAAAGAAGTTCATCAAAATACAAACATATATAAATAGAAAATTAAATGAATTTTTAAAAACAATAAATGACAAACCTAGAAATTTGACAAAGCAATAGAAACAATAAAAGTAACCAATGGAAATCCTAAAGATGAGGAATACAGTGACTGAAATGAAAAAAATCAATAGAACACTTCAACAGCAGACTTGATCAAGCAGTCAAAAAAATAAGGAATCTGGAAGACAGAACATTTGAAATTAGCCAGTCAAAAGAGCAAAAGGACAAAAAAGCAGAAAAGAAAAGAGTGAAGAAAGCCTTTGGAAATTATAGGCTATCAAGAGACTAACTCATTACATAATAGAAGTTTTAGAAGGTGAATAAAGAGAAAAAAAGCCAGAAAACATTAAAGAAATGATGACTAAAAACCATCCTAATCTAGAGATAGATAACAGTATGCCAGTATAGAGAGTGCAGAGGTCTCTAGTGAGATTGAACCAAAAGAGAAATTTACCAAGACACACAGGAATCAAACTATTAAAAACAAACAAACAAAATCTAAGAGTGCCAAGAGATAGGAAACACATCACATACAAAGGAGTACTGTAATGACTATCAGCAGATTTCTCAGTAGAAACCCTGCAAGCTAAGAAAGAATAGGATGATATATTCAATGTGCTGAAGGAAAACTACTGTCAACAAAAAAATACTTTACCCAGCAATGAATGCTGTCTTTCAGAAATGAAGGAGAAATAAAAACTTTCCCAGATAAATGAAAGCTAACACAGTCACTAGACCTGCCTTAGAGGAACTGCAAAAGGGAGTTCTTTAAGCTGAATAAAAGACTACTGATTAATAACATGAAACGTATGAAAGCAGAAAAAGGGGAAAAGCTATGTGACAATGGCCTGAGCAATGATTTTTTCTGGATTTGACCCTGAAAGCACAGGCAACAAAAGCAAAAATAGGTAAATGGGATTATACCAGACTAAAAAATCTTCTGAACAGCAAATGAAATAGTTAACAGTGTGAACTAACAACCTACAGACTGGGAGAAAATATTTGCAAGCCATATATCTGATAGGGAATTAATATCCAAAATATATAAGTAGTTTACACAACTCAATAACAAACCAAACCAAAGAAACAAACAAGTAAAAGCAATTGAAAAATGGAAAAAAGACCAGAATAGACAGCTGTCAAAAGATGACATACAAATGACCAACATATATGTGAAAAAATGCTCAACATTATTAATCCTTATGGAAGTGCATATTAAAACCACAATAAGATATCATCTTACACCTGTCAGAATTATTGTTATCCAAAAGACAAAATATAAAAATTGTTAGCTAGAATGTGGATAAAAGGAAACCCTGAACACTATTGTTGGGAATGTAAACTAATACAGTCGTTATAGAAAAATGTACAGAGATTTCTGAAACACTAAAAATAGAATTATCATATGATCCAGCAATCCTACTTGTAAATATTTACCTAAAACAATTAAAGTCAATTTGTGAAAGAGATGTGTGCACTTCCATGTTCATTGCACCACTATTCACAAGTCACGTTATGGAGTCAACTTATGTATCCATCAATTGATGAACACTTAAAGAAAAGGTGGTAAAGGTACATAATGGAATACTAGGCAGCCTTAAAAAAGAAGAAATTCTGTCATTTGCAACCCCGTATATGAAATTTTAGAGTATTATGCTAAGTGAAACAAGCCAGGCAAAGAAAGACAAATACCTCATGTTTTCATTATAGGTGGAATCCAAAACAGTCAAACTCATAGAAGCAAAGAATAGAATGTGGGTTACAGAGATTGGGAGCTGGTGGTAATGGGGATGTAAGGACCACAGTGTACAATATCTCAGGAGGAATACATTTTAAAATGAGATGATTTTCAGAATATGGTGAATAAAGTTGGTAATAGTATATTGTACATTGCAAAATTGCTAAGGAAGTAATTTTAAGTATTCTTAGAAAACATTTGAGGTGATGGATACCTTAATTAACTTGATTTAATTATTCTATATTGTATTCATAAACCATAACAACACTTTGTACTATAAAAATTGATGTAATTACAGATTGTCAGTTTTTTTTTTGATACAGGGTCTCAACCTGTTGCCCAGCCCACAGTGCAGTGGCATGCTCACGGCTCACTGCAACCTCGACCTCCCAAGCTCAGGTGATCGTCCCACCTCAGCCTCCCAAGTAGCAGAGAGGGTATACAGGGGCATGCCACCATGCCCAGCTAATTTTTTATTTTATGTAGAGTCAAGGTCTTGCAATATTTCCCAGACTGATCGCAGACTCCTGGGCTCAAGTGATCTGCTGGCCTCAGCCTCCCAAAGTGCTGGGATTGCAGCCACAAGGCACTGCACCCAGCCTCGACTTATAATAAACATAAAAATCATTAATATTCAAGGCTATGGTTACAAAATGTAATTCTTTATGAAAGTTTGTAAGTGTGCCTTCATATCAATCCTACATGCATTTCAATAAGCATGAAAAATGTAACAAAGGTAAACAAATGCTTGTGATGTACTTGAGGCTGATATTATTAAAAATAGAACAAATGCATTCTCATTTGCCTAAAAGGGATTTTTTTCTTGTGGTTATGCCAGCAACAGATTGATTTATTTGATGCTTGGTCCTCTGATGACTAAGAATTCTGAGATCAAATCTTAAAGTAGACTTCAGTTCTTGATACAACTTTGACAGATGAGGCAATCACAGAAATTATGCTTTTTGGTTTTATGAATTATTTCATTTTTTACTAACTGGTTCACTTCTGTTAGGGACACTGAATTCATTAGTGGCTACATCAGTCCCAGAAGATACCACTTGTAGAGACTGTATTTGTGTTTTCAATATCTATTTTTCCTGCTGTCTATAATCAGAGAACCCAAGATTTTTAGCTAGCAGCAAGATGATCTGGAGAAGTTTATGTTTCTTTGTTTACTTTAATAATAGATGATTTTGATTAAATTGTAGTCTCAATAAGATGTGAGTAGCATAGCCAAGGCAAACACAGATATTTCAGATAACAATCAAACTTATATGAATATATATGTATATATATGTGTGTATGTGTGTGTATATATATGTATGTATATATATGTATGTGTTTATATATATATATTCACATACACATACATTTAGTGTATTTCCCAATACTTTAAATATAATTATGTTCCACTATTGCATAATATATATTTATGCTAAAATATTTGTTTATATGAATTTCAAATTTAACTGAGCATCCAGTATTTTTATTTGCTAAATCTGGCAGCCTTATATTTGAGGAACAATGATATATACATCTTTTATGCCATTTCCATCAAGGAAACAGAGCACCTTTTCTCCCTTTTTAAAATTCAGGTGCCTGGAAAATGATCAGTATAGCTGCATTTTGCAAAATGCATCTGTGGACATCACACTAAAACGATGCAGCAACAAGACAGAAGGAGTCAAAGTATTATATTACATTTTGGAACAGAGCTTGCTGACAAACCTTAAAAAGGCTATTACAGGTTAAATTTAGGCTACTACATTGGAGTAAATAAATTTCAGGTAAGTAAAATAAATTACTTTTTAAGTCACTGTCAAAGTTTGGTCTCTATTATGTATTGCAGTTATATCCTATTACAAGAATGTACTGTAGGAACAGTCATCCAGATCATAAGTAATTAGTTCTACATCATTTTTTCCCTTTCTCACTCTTTCTCCTTCATCTGATAATTTGAGGTAAATTATACTGTTTGTCTCAAGTGCTAATTGCCTAATTATGATTAATTTCTTGCCTTCTATGTTCATTTATTGGCCTTAATAAACTGAAAGTAATTTAAACTATGTCTTGCCCTGAAGACCCGCTATCACAATTATTTAGGTACACAAATGGCTGAATATTTTGTAAGGATATTTCAGAATAGTAAAATAGATTTTATACTAGGAGAGGTTTTATTAACACAGGTGTACTCCTGATATTCTCAAACTGTATCTTTCAATTTCAATTGTTTGGATGTATCTTTCCATGGTACAATAAAAATGTTTTATTTAAAAAAGTACCCTTCCATTTAGAATAGCTAGAGCCTAGTAACAAATTATTTTTAAAATCTGAGGGTGTCATATTAATAGCCAGCGGTCTTAGAAAGCACTCATCTTGTGTTTGAAGGGATGAGATATAGGCTGCAAAGAGGAAGTAATTTACTCCATGTGAGGATCATTATAACATGATTTATCTAACCTGTATCCCTGTCTAGTTAATTTCTACCTGTAGTTTATACCTCATGGTATTCACAGAGACTCATGTTAGGACAGGTTTCTAGTATTCTGGTCATGCACTAAGGAGGACTGATTTACTTCTCCACATTTCCCAGCTGTACCTCCACTTATTTTAACTTGAGATCATTGCTTTTCTTCTTTCCTTTTTTAAAGATTTAACTAAGATGGAATAAAATATTCTAGTCCCAGGATCCATGTCTCAATATCATTGGCCCTTTGGGTTTTGGGATAATAAAGGTTAAATAAAATTATTTGATTTGTCAAATTTTAGATTTAATTGTCACATGTACTAACCTAAGTAAATGGGCATAAAAGAAAAATAATGTCTAGTTAAGCTTAGGGAACAGTATTGAATATCACACAGATTTAAAAGCAATATAACAATACAAATTTTCTCATATTTCCTTCCAATTATTTCTCCTCCCAAGAGAACATGTTAACTTCTAGTACGTAAACCCCCTAAATGCATGTGATAGGAGAAAAAGAATATTTATGGCCTACTAAAGGAAAGGCAGGATAATTTAGCTTAGTGCAGTCTCTTTCTTCAGTTGTTCTGGGAAGCCCTTCACAATGTTCTGTTTTGAAATTCCGGGATCTTATTTATACAGCATTTACCTATACATATTGGATTATCTGTGCTTAAGGATGCAAATTTTTTTCTCGTGATATCCCAGCAGGTCAAATGTCTTAAATAGAGCAGGTAAAGAAAGAAAACAAAATCTTATGTCGTTTGAAGGTTGTCATCTCCAGGTGATGTTATCTGGATAATTGTGATCAATAGATAGAGAAATACCTACCAGTCAGTTCTTAGACTGCTGAGTACATAAGAAGTTTAATCTCGGATGAAGATAAATTACATGGACTTGCGTGTGTGCACACACACATATACAAACACACACATATATATATATAAAACTTATATGTACATATTTCTTACTTCCTGCAGAACAAATGACTGGCTTATGTCATATTTTTTCTATCCCAACTTTGAAGTCATCTATTTCACAAGAGTTCTCCTATTTCTTTTCATGAGAAATATTACTTAGAAATTAAGACCTGGGTACTATAGCTGTTCATCCCTAATGGAATATCATTGTTTCTAGGTTATTTCAGCAGACAGAACAGGAACAATGGCAATTTCACATGCTTCGACTTTTAAAATCTTTTAAATCATAAATTTATATAAATTGTTCTAATCCTACTGCAAGGCAGTAGAGTTCTTCCTTGCTTTTCCTCATGGAACATTTTTTCAACACAAAAAAATTCTAGAATCCCACACTATAAATACATATTCTTTTCTATTAGCCTAATCTTATAATACACACAAATAGCTTCAGAATTTCTAAAACCCTCTAAATAGTAATGAATGTATGTGTGTGTGTGTGTATATATACACGCTATGTATTTATTTATATATATAAATTCTGAAAAGTGAACTGAAGGATGAGGAAAGAACAGCCATATATATATGTGTGTGTATATATATATGTGTGTGTGTATATATATGTATATATATGTGTGTGTATATATGTATATATGCATATATATGTATATATGTGTATATATATACATGCTATATATTTATATATATTTATATTTTTATATATTTAAATACATAAATATATAATATATAATATATAAATGAATATATTAGATATATAAATAGAATATAAGATATATAAATATAATATATAAATATATAAAAATATTTATATTTTTATATATAGCATGTATATACACACACACATATATATATATACATATATACAGATATATATATATATCAATCACACTGCCAGCTTGAGGTAAGTGAAACAAAAAATGTGAGTGGCAAGAAATTTTGTGTTATCAAATGACTGCATGATATTTCTGGCTGTTCTTTCCTCATCCTTCAGTTCACTTTTCAGAATTCTTTTAGAGGTCTAAATATTTATTTTATTTTCCTGCTTCTAATTATCAAATAATTTAACAGACAAAAAATAAATATTAAAAGTACATAAACTAGCATGTGATTTCTGTATTAGTCCATTCTCACACTGCTATAAAGAACTGACTGAGACTGGGTAATTTATGAAGAAAAGAGGTTTAATTGACTCACAGTTCCACAGGCTGTACAGGAAGCATGGCTAGGAGGACTCAGGAAACTAACAATCATGGCACAAGGTTAAGGTGAAGCAAGTATATCCCACCATGGTGGAGGAGGAGGGAGATAGCGGGGAGGTGCCACACATTTTTAAGTGATCAGATTTCGTGAGAACTTACTATCACAAGAACAGAAAGGAAGAAATCCACCCCATGATTCAATCACCTTCCACCAGGCCCATCCTCCAATTAGACATGAGATTTGGGTGGGGACACAAATCCAAACCAAATCAATTTTAATCTTACATTTCATATCTACTTTTATATACTCTCCCATTTCATCTTACCATTTGGCTGTGTCACATTTGTCAGTATTATCTACAAAGGCCCTATTTCTCACTAGAGAAATTTTATTTAGAATACATATTTTTAAAAAATTATAGTTGACTTCAGAATTAAAAGCTACTCAATATTTAAAGCTAATATTTATTGGGGTCCTATAATGGCCCATTATGAATTGCTCCTTTGAGGCAGCAGATAACACAGGTTTTTGCATTAACATTGTTTTTGCACATGGAACATATTTTAATTTCAGAGGAGTGAGACTGGCTTGATCAATATTGAATAATAAGATTGATGTGCTGTAAGAGCTTTCACTCAAAATTTCTTGGCAAGTGGCAGTTAAAAATACCAGAACAACTTATTTGAATTGTTACATAATTGACATTGTTACACATTATTTTATATAAAATGTGATTTGGTCATAATGACATCTTGATTCAAACTTGTTTGTAAGTCCATACCATGCATAATTTCCAAAACTAACAGATTTTAAAAGATCATGTTTTAGCTCATTGGGAATATGAAATAATAGTCATTTTATAAAGCGTCCATACTGAGGTAGATGGATGAGCAGTCAATCCAATGAGATCAACATTGTATTGCCACTTGAAAAAACATACTGGCCTTGTTGATAAATACCATTATATTAGTGATTGAAGGTAAATAATGAATTAAATATAATTCATTATTTGAAAAAAACTATTATTACGATTGCTTATTTTATTTAATTTCAATAAACCTCCCAAAACAACCAAGTAGTTACAGTTTGCTTACTTAGCTTTCCAATCTTCTTTTTGATTATTATTATTTTTTAACTTGTGACTTGTTTATTTCTGAAATTTTCCATTTGATCTTTTTGGACTACAGATGACAGCAAGTAACAAACAACAAAAAGCAAAACCAAGCAAAAGGGAGTACCCCTGTATACGAATGGGTACACAGTTTAAGACCAGTTACTAAATAGATTGCATTAGAAGCAGGTGAAAAAACTTACGTTATCTATTGGGAGAAAAAAAAAAACTTCATACCTCTATATTAACCACTAAGCTATTTTGTCAATGTTTTTCATCTAACACACTATAAATTTCTTTGTAAGTAACACAGACCCCACCTCACTGAAACTTTTTGCTATTTTCAGCTCCCAATCATTGTTCCCCCATTTCTTCAGCCTATTTTTGCTTTCACCATGCCTTCTTCATTGAACTTAATAATTTCTAGCTTTTTATTTAAAGTGAGAGAAGCATGATTACTCCTTTCACTTAAAAACAATGGTAGCATTATAAACTGGCCGATTTTCAATAGTTTTGTGTCTCAGGATATAGGGAGGCCCAAGAAGAGAGAGAAAAATGAGGAAAAGTGGGTTGATGGAACAGTCAGAATACACACATTTATCAATTAAGTTAGTCATCTTACTGGATGTGGTTTGTGGCACCCTTAGACAATTACAATGGTAACATCAAAGATTACCAATCACAGATATTATATAACAAAAATATAGTAATAATGAAAAAGTTTGTAACATTGCAAGAATAACCAAAATGTTGCAATGATTCATGAAATAAGCACATGCTATTGCAAAAATCCTGCCCATAGATCTGGTTGACAGGGTTTTCACAAACCTGCAATGTGTAAAAAACACAATGTGTGTGAAGCATACTAAAGCAAAGCAAAATAAAGTAAGGTAAACTTCTATTTGATTTTTTTGTCCAAAACATATATGGGAAAAATCAAGATAACAATGATTGCAGGATTTTTCTTTGCATGAGAAAGAACTTATCAGCTTTGCTTCCAAAATAATTCTATTATTGTCACAGGATCCTTGGAATGTTGCTGTGCCAGCCAGAAACCTCTGTGGCCAGTGGTGCCTTTGCCTGAGTTTCACTCAGGTTTGCTGGGCTCATTCTACTCACTCGTCCTGACAGGCTGCCCTTGGCTTGCACTACCGGCCTGGATCCCATGCCTGCCAAGGGTGAGCCAAGCATGGAGGGCCGAGGAGTGTGTGAGCGAGCATAGGGTTTGGCCACTGTGTACAGCCAGGCACACCAGTTGTGGTAGGGTGGGCAGCTCCTGGCACCGGCTTGGGTGTTAGCTCCCTGCAAGGTTGCAGCTGGACCATGCATACCACAAGCATCTTCCACGGCTGGCACTAGGGAAGGCAGTGATGCCTGGAAGCTTGGAGATACCAGGAACCACAGAGCCCCAAAGAGGGTGTCACAGCACTGGCTTGGGAAACTCCTAGGTCTGGGTTCCCTGAAGAGCCACAGCTCTTCTCTCCTTTTTTATCTCCTTCTAGTTGCCTGCAATGTGATGAGCAAGGGGTGTGTTTCAGCCCTCTTTGTGTTACAGCTCTTTTAGCCCCAGCATTTAGTGGGTCCTGAGTGCTTGTCTTGCATCCAAGAAGAATGAGGTACATGGACAAGTGGAGGGTAAGCAAGGCAAAGAGGAGCTTTATTGAGTGATAGAACAATTCAGAGGAGACCCACATTGGGTAGCTCCTCTGTGCAGGCAGGGTGTCCTGACAAGTGTTCAGCTTTCAGCAGAGAGGAGGCTCTGGATTGGGTAGCTTCTCTCCATAGGCAGGTCATCCCATCGAGTGTTCAGCTCTCAGCAGAGAGGAGATCCTGGAGTGGGTAGCTCCTCTCCACAGCTGGATATCCCATCGTTTCAAGTCTGGCTGAGTCCAGGGCTTTTATGAGCCTCAGAGTGTAGGAGGTGAGCACTGATTGGTCTATAAGCAGCCATGGGTGGGCCTGAAAAAAGAACCGTAAGTTCCCATTCTGGTCGGTGGGACTGGCAGCCCAGGCCAAAGGCATCAGACCCTCCCCAGCTTGAAGGTTGAACTTCACCAGGGACCCACCCCCGTCCATCCAGGAGTCTGTCTGCCTCCTGCTGCCATTCATGGTGCCCAGGCTGTTCATGCCAAGGGGCACCTGTAGGTCAGTGCCAAGCTGCCTTCATGTTCCCCTCATCCTCCCTCCTGTGCTCATTGAAACCCAAAGTTTGGAGGGAGCTGAGATGGCAGGGGCCTGTACAGTGTGTCAGTACTGCTTGAGCATGTGCAGCCTGGGCTCAGCCCCAACCTTGTTCCAAGAGCACAGAGGGCTCTGAAAGCTGGAAGAGGCCAGGCAGTGAGAGCAGACACCTCCAAGCCTGCGCAGAAAGGTGGGGCCTACCCGGACTCCTGAGAGTGCAGAGATTCCTGCACCAGAAGTTGGGCCTACCCAGACCCCCGAGAGTGCAGCCTGGATGGCGCAGCTGTGCTTGGGAAGGCAGGGGTCTCCTGCCTGCTCCTGGTCCCCAAGAGCACAGGGAGTCCTGGGTCCACAACCATGACATGGGTGGCTACAGCTGTGCCCAGGAAGGCAGGGCTCCTATGTGTTCCTGGCTCCTGCTGGCTCCACGAAGTGTGGAGCCCAGCCTGAGCCTGCCCCATTGCAACTGGCATCCTGGCAGTGGCTGATCCAGGTGGGCCACTGTTGCCATCGTTATTTCACTTACATTAAATACCATAGCCATAAACAATAATAAACACTTCAATTTTCTCTACTTTCAGTTTCTTAGATCACACTGTTATTATCTTTTACTAAATAACAGTGTTAAGTCCTCAGAGATAGCTTATGTACACCCCTCCACTTCAAATCGTCTTCTAATTCTTTTAATTTCTTGGTTGATTACTTATCGTCATTTTCCACCATTCCTATATTTTTAAACTAGGGGCCCAATTGTGCTATGATTGTTCACACACATGTATTGTGGATTCTATTAATATCTATGAGATATCAGAGTTTATTACCTTTAGGATCAAAGTTACACACTACATACAAAGTTGTCTTTCTAAGGATACATGCAAAAAATAAAGAGTAATTAATATATAATTTACATGATTGAATCAAGCCATGTCTATATAATGCTATGTATATTGTAAAAGTTTAGCAGATATTTGGATAAAGAGAAATATTAGCAGAACTGTGGATTTTAGCTTTTTAGGGGCTTGACATAATTTTTTAAATAAACATCTGTGATATTTGTGCTGGGATGCAATTGAGAGTTTGACTTTTTCAGTTTTATTATGATTTTATAATTTTTTAGGTGAGTGTAGATTAGAGCTCAGTACAGGGGGGCCAACATTGGAGGCAAGACATTCCTGAATATTCTATCCAATATTGTCTTATTCTGATCAGGCTTCTATAAAAAAATAACATAAACAGGTTACTTTATAAACAACAGCAATTTATTTCTCACCGTTCTGGAGGCAGGGATTTCCAAGGTCAAGATGTCTTCAGACTCAGGGTCTATTGAGGGCGCAATTTCAGTTTATATACACTACCTTCTTGCTGGGTCTTTGCACAGTAAAAAGGGCAAAGCAGTTCTCTAGGATCCCTTTTATCAGAATCACTAATCTCATTGATGAGGGTTCCACCCTCATGACCTACACTCTTCCCAAAGTCATCATTTCCTTACACCATCACCTTGGGGGTTAGAATTTAACATTTGATATTTCAGGAGACACAATCATTCAAACCAGCAAATATTATACAAATCATTAAGTTTTCCTAGTTTGACTGATAGAAATAGGCATTTTCTCCAGTTTATATGAACACTGGACATTGTTTGTTAATATTTTTAGATTTATTTGTTTGTGTATTGTTTTAGTTTCTACCAAGTAATTCTTCAAACATTTGTGTTGATCGGTATTCAAACCTCTTTTAGATATGCGGGGTTATCTCTTTGTGAAGCCTCTCCAGTATTCTGTGTTGCAATTTTTAACTTTTTCTCACTGAACTTTCAGCTCTGTCTCCTCAATTTATTTTTACTCAAAGAAGCAATGTATATCAAGAAAACATTTCTTCTGCTAGAATAAATAAATGGTAATTCAAATATTGGCATCAGATTTTCAGCTATGCATTTAAGTCAATTCATGTTTGCTTTGAGATTGAAAAACTTTTATCATGAATAGTAAACAGTATTAAAACTTTTTCAGGGGAAAAAAAGATGTAAGCGCTTATGCATAACCATTCAGTGATAAAACTTTTATTGAATGTCTTCAATCAAAACCATAGTAAAAAAGAATAGGTCAGCTTTTTAAAAGTTAAATAATTACAGCTGGAAGACATTTAAAACTATTTCCAAACCTCATATTTTTAACTTGCTGTGTAGGCATTGTTTGTTCAATTGTTGTTTTGTTTTTATAAATTCAATAGTTAATGCAGGCAGCAAATGTAACAAGGAATTCCATTTTATGAACAAAGAAAGTAGGTTTATTTTATCTTCTCTGGCCAACCTAAATGTTTGTGAGTTCTGTAGATATTTAGCTAACAATAGATTCATATCCAGAAAAGCACTTTTCAAACTTTTAGAAAAACATAAAATTGCCTCTTGCTGTGTTTTATTCCATTTTATATTTTAACCATACACTCTCACCATCTAATGGAATAATAACTAGAAGTATATATATATATGTGTGTGTGTGTGTATGTGTGTGATTTTGGTTATATACATAAACATGCATATGAGTAATTTATATGTTTTATAATGTTATAAAGATGTTAGTAAGTAGGCAAGAATTGTGGGAATTTCCTATTTCTTCAACTTCCATATCTTTATAACGAAGATAGTCTGCCCATTGATGTGTATTTTGTGAAGACTAATGAGTAATTATATGCTGAGCATTATAAAGGATGATAAAGACTTTAAGGCTGTAACTGATGCATCCCAATAGATCATTTTCAAACTGGCATACACAGTTCCACAATAACTTTCACTATATGGTATTGTATGTGTTTGCTGATGTGTCTATCTCCTATATTTTCATCCTCAAGGCAAGAGTCTACTTCTCTATTTAGGTTTGTATCCATAGCAACCAATTCAGAATCTGTCTTAGGGCATATGCTGAATAAATGCTTATTTGATGTGGAATTATGATTAAATGATAATTAGATTTTTCACTCAAAAAATTAGAGTTTAGTTGGGAAGATAAGACTTACCTGTTTGAATCGACTTAAGGCAGTGTAGATAAAGTGCTTAATAAACAACACATAATATAAAGAGTTCAGTAAACTGAATGGTTTTATTAAATTTATAGACATAATTTGTGAATTGCATAAAATGTAATTATGTAAAACTGATGTTGTAGCAGTCCTCTTCCTAAAAGAATCAAATATTAAATCCATTAAAAGTTTAAAATAACTTCCTAGAATGATGAAAATAAGTCAATTACAAATAGAAAGCAGGCATGTGTGGTTTCTACAGTTTAGCACACAGCACTATTAATTTCAAAGCTACATTTACCTTTCTTAATTTGAGATTGGCTCCAATTGACTAAAAATGTAACATCCTTTTTTATTTCAATATTGGAGGTTTAAAGGAAATTATCCATTTTTAAACATGGTTTAAGTCATACCTGATTTAAAATTCTGTCATTTGTAATACACTCAAGACGTGAACATGCTTCTGTAACAGCATGGCTACAAGAGGCATTTTAAAAAATCCTATTCTGATATCATAATGTGGACTTACTTTTTAAAGTAGAGTTTATTTAATTTAGTTATGCATATATATATATAGTTCTTAAGAATTATGATCACAATGTTTAGAAATATAAATTGGATCAATATTTATATGCATTAATTTACATAATGCAATGCAGTAAGATTTTTCAACTTGTAGTTTCTGCTTAACATGTAAATGTTTTGAATACTAAGTTATATAAAAAATAATAGTCTTTCCTCTTACCATTTGAATTCATCTTCCCCTTGGGTTGAATATTAATAGTATCAATCATTCTAAGGTGCACATACATTATTTTTTTAAGATTAATGACCCTGTTAACTTTATTGTCTGTGTATACTCAAAAGCCTGAAATTCTTTTTGGTGAACAGGCTTGTCTGGTTGCTTTTAGTCAAGATTTTTCTTTCTTCTGATGCACTCTGTGGCTGCTGACTCCTTGCTTTATGTATTATTCTAGAAAGTAGCACACTCCTGTTTGAAAATGTGGACTCATTGTACAGCAGCTATATCTGCCACAATTGATGACACTTGAGGAGGTAAAGTTGTCTGTGTTGTCAATACATAGATAATATAACATCCCTACTAAAGAAAGGCCTGAAAGTAGTTTGAATAGAGAACACAATAGATTTTTACATTCATGTAGTCTGAACATAATGAATGATATCTTTAATAATGTTATTAAGTACTTTTGCTAATCATGGAAAAACATCATAAATGTGCTTGTGGAAATGCAAATGCTTTTAAAATTATTTTATTGAAAATGTTTCTGTGAGTTGGCATTTAAAATTTTTATCATTAATTATGAAAACAAAGTCCCTTTTCCTCAACAAAATATAAAGAGATTATCATTTACTCTCTTGATTTTCCACTTGCCTTATATTTCCAAATTCAAACAAATATGTATCTGAGGAAGTGAAAGCAGCCAACACAAGCATTCCTTTGCTGACTGGTGCCTGGATAGTCTATTATGCACTATGTCATTATATGGAGGTCCTTTGACGTAGGGATTTTTATTACCCAACCACAGATTCTGAATATTTGAAATGAGTACTGGAAATATCTAATGTGCTTTAATATGCTTCACAGTTGCTAGTAAGTCCAATGTATAGCTAAGTTTTGATACCATTGATATATAATGCATTTTTATAGAAAATAGAAGTCAAATGTAAAATATTTCATGTTTGTCTTATTTCCTTATAATTCTTCTTTCTTCTAATTGTTGACTTTTCTATTTGTGCTGCTTGCATTTGAATTATACTTCTATGAATTTCCTTCTATAATAGTATAAGACTAGCAGTATTTGTCAGTGTCTCCAACTTCCCACAAAAATATTAATAAAGATTCATCTAAAAGCAAAATTAACTGTGACTAAAAGCCAACTTATATTATGGAGAGAAAAATCAATTGCTAGATTTGTAGAATGATATCTGAAATAACAATAATTAGATAACCTACTCATTTCCTGATAGAGAGAGCAGAGACCAATCAGCCTCTGGGTTACAAAGGGGCTGAATTGACTCTGTTGTAATCATTGTCCCTGATTCAGAAGACCAGAGCCAGGTTGGGAAACTATATCCCTCCTCCACCAGGAAGTCTGTAATAAACTGTAAAGTATACCTCTCTCTGAATAGGATAGACATTCTTGAACTCAAGTTCATTTTGTCATTTATAAACACTGGTTCTTTTACATATTTTTATTTTATTTTATTTTTTTATTTTTTTGAGTTGGAGTCTCATACTGTCTCTCAGGCTGTAGTGCAGTGGTACGATCTTAGCTCACTTCAACCTCTGCCTTCCTGATTCAAGCTATTCTCCTGCCTCAGCCTCCTGAGTAGCTGGGATTACAGGTGCCTGCCACCACGCCCGGCTGATTTTTTGTACTTTTAGTGGAGACACGTTTCACCATGTTGGCCAGGCTGGTCTTGAACTCCTGACCTGGTGATCCTCCTGCCTCGGCCTCCCAAAGTGCTGGGATTACAGGTGTGAGTCACCACGCCCGGCCACATATTTTTATTTAAAAAAAATCCCAAATTGAGATTGCTAAATAAAAATAGTAACAACTATTAATATTTCAAGCCCCACTTCACTCAACTCTGGTTTTTCCATTTGTGATTTTGTTCAGAACAATTGTGTACACAAATTTCTGCTTTGAGCAGAATGAGATAATGTGGGGGGGGGGTTGTATTGGGATATGGAGATAGTGAAGCAGTAGGTTAAGAGAAATATTTTAAGATTTTTGCTGAAAATTGGAACAGAGAAGTAATGTAGTAGTTATATAAAGCTACATCATCAAGATAAATGTTTGTTTTTTTTTAATGTGATATATTAGGGCACATGTTTAAGCTTAAAAAACTGATTCAGTAAAGGGTTCAAGGTATAATCCAGTAAATTGAAAAATAAATCATGACATAGGACACAGAGAGAATAAATGCAGCACAAAACTCCCTGAGTGTAGTGCATGAGAGTAAAAAGTTTTACTGATGAAAGAATTGGATGTAGATGGGTGGAACAGTTTTAAAAATTAACACCATAGAAGACACCTGATGTGGAAGTAGACGGATTACATAGATTGTATAGATTGGATAACATGACTTTGATCTCACATGATTACATCTGTTTTCTTGGTGAAATGAATAGCAAGTAAATGGCTGAAATTGAGAAGACAGTGAATATTATAGAAAAAAAGTAGAATCTGAAAACTGTGAGTGAATTTACTGACAAATATATTTTTAATGGAGAAATTAGAGATTAGAACATCCAGTTTGAGAAAAAGTTGCTTGTATTTTTCTATGGGCTTCACTGTTAACTGACACAAGTTATTTAACACCATACCTCATGTTTCTCTCTGTAAATTTGTGGCAATAGTAATACAGCATAACATTTTTGTAATGAGTAAATTTGTTTATATATTTAAAGTGCTTATAAAAGTTTCTGTTCTATAGTTTTATAAATTTGTGGTGATATTTAAAATTTTTTAAAACTCTGAATGTTCCTTGTTGTTGTTGTTCAATAATAAATGCAGCTCCTCTTTTGCAGAAATAATATAGGTAAGGTTTTCCAGGAGAGTTCAGTGGAGAGGCTGAGTGGTACAATAATTGAATGATACTTTTGGTTTGCTTCATGGAATGCAAGTTGGGTAAGAGGTCAGAGTGAATGATTTGGACATTTAAATGGGATAAACGATTGCTGAGATGTCTACTAGAATATATAAACTTTAAGAGAGGAGATTGAGGTATGAGTAAAGAACACTTAAAATCAAGATTTTGGAGGATTATTAGAAATAAAAAAGATCTTCCATATTTACCCATAAAGGGAGTGGCTAAACTAGGATGAAATGATTATGAGGAATTAGAAGGTAAAGAAAGTAAGAGACTAGAGTCTAGCCTCAAAGGCGTCAAGCAATTTTATTCATTAAGGCTGCTCATGGATCAACTGTTTATTATAATTTTGTTTTACGTAGTAAGATTTCATTGCTGGCTTCTGTGAAAATTTGAGTAGACATCAAAGCTGCTTTGCTCAATAAAGAAGCAAAAAATAACATTTTATTTCAAAGTGGAAGTTTTATAATCAATACACAGTTTACCATCCTCCATCTTCTATTACAACAACATAATATCCCAAGCAAATATATTCTCCTTTGGCCTGGGCCCCTGAATGATTAACATGAGAAAAACCCTCTAACAAGCCATTTTGGATGTGTGTCACAAATAAGAAACATATCTTTATTACTTAAGCCATTGAGATTTAAGGCACATTGTTGGTTTAACAAGAACCCTCCTGAGAGACACAAATGGATTACTAATGTAGATAATGAAAGAATGCCTGTACTAGCAATGAAGAGAACGATGTATCCTTAATAAATGGGTCAAAAAAATCTGGACATTATTACAGGAACTGAATACAAGGGTTCACCTAGAAGATCCCTCCTTTTCGGGCCTGAAACATTTTTTTTTCCCCAGCTTCTGGACTCTCAGATATGTTCCTTTCTGGGAATTACATTTAGCATAAGAAAGCTGCCTCTTCCATAGTCAATGTCTCTACTGGGGACAGAGTGTATCTAATAACTGATGTCCTGTGGGCATAAATGCCAGTTTCTTTGCCTTTAGGAAGGACGATTCAGAAGTATTATTCCAGCTCCAAAGCTTCTTGTGGGATTGGTCGCGGTTTTTATTGTAACTGCATTGCAGTTCAACGCACTCCGCCCTGTTCTGCTTTTTTTCTACTCGTATACATGTATTGATCCTGAGGGCACTCTTCAGTAAAATTTCTGCTCACAAATCTCTGTGCCAGCATCTGTTTCCTATGGCATTGGCCTATTATAATTGTTTCCAGGTGTGGCTGAAAACAGCCGACTCTCAGATGGAAATTTGGAGTTGGATCGCCCACCAGCATGCTGGCAATGTAGACTCTATTAATTGTAGCCAGTAAATCAGTAAAAGCTTCTAATGCAGAAGAGCAATATGATTGTTAAAAATTTTGCAGATGGTAAACTGGTATAGTGTACTAATGGAAGATGGACAAAAATACACGATGGTAGGTGCACTATACATGAGGCCAGTGATATTAAATGGCTGCTGCTGAGTGCCATGAATGCACTGAAGAAAAAATAGTGAAATATTGAGAATGAGTATTAGCCAGTTGAAATTAAGTATTAAATTTAGAAAGTTACTGTGGCATCTTATAAAGATAGTTATCTCCTGTGGCTGTAGCATAGAAAAACCTGAGTATTAGGCACAATACTTATTTATAAGATTAGTGCAACTCCAGAGAATGATTCATTCTTACCACTCAAGCCAGTTATATCAGGTCTTGGCACAGTAGGCCTTGACCCTAGTTAGGAAGGAGTGGGTCTGTAGGACTTAGAGTTGAGAAATATTGGTTGAATACATTGAAAAATCTTAAGATCTTTCTAAACCATACATTCTCGGATAAGTAACCCACTCTTCCCTGTTAAAGCCTATTTCTCCTGTCTTACAAATGCCTATGCCTTGCAAGGTAATAGGAACTTCTTCTAGATCTATTTCCACATCCCTTTCTGACAAATAACTGTGGTAAGGTCGCACTTAAAGACTGCAGAAGTATTGTGGCTAGTAAAAGAGAAAAAGGACTATAAACTGATGAAGCTGCAAGACATAATATATTGTCAGGATCTGGGGGATCATGTGCAGAACTTGATTCTGAAAGCCAGTCGAGGTGGAACATAAGGTTAGATGATTAAGTATTTATGTGGGAGAATTCTTCCCTCAAACAGTTATCAACATTCTGTAAAGGATAAGGAATCAATCCATAGTAATAACAGTACCTAAAAGCTTTTTTAAAGAGATAACTGGTACCAAATGAAGTAGAAATACCAGTACTGTCATGGCAAATGGTGCAAGAAGTAAACACATTGTTCAAAGAAGTGGAAAAGCTGTATTATTAGAAAGAGCATATTTTGTCTCAGCAGAATCCTAGCATTCAGTCCTTGATTTGTAGGTTAAGAGCTATTTTAATGACAAATGCTAAGTGGAATACTTTGAAATTACTTTTGACCCCAGCCAAGGGTTTAATTTGAAATAATAATGTATCTCAAAGGGAATGGCAGAAAGTTGTGTCATCCTAAAAGATGGATAGTGCCATATATCATATCGTTAGTTAATTCACTGGTTTTACCCCTACGAAAACTAGATGGATCCTCTAATATCCAGTTATAGCTCACTTGCATCTGTTGCAGATTAACATGATATTAGAAACATGGTATGTGGCCACTGATCAGGGCATTGTGTTATCAAATACTAGATATTATTCTTTCTATACAACTATATTTTTGTACTTATTTACCATTCCCACTTCCCTGCCTCCCAATACCCTTCCCAGACTCTGGTAACCATCATTCTACTTTCTATTTCAATGAGTTCAATTGTTTCAATGTTTAGCTCCCACAAATAAGTGAGAACATGTGAAGATGATCTTTCTGTGCCTGGCTTATTTCACTTAACATAATGACCTTCAGTTCCATGTATGTTGTTGCAAATGACAGGATCTCATTCTGTTTTATGGCTGAATAGTTCTCAGGAGAAGGAAACAGGAAACCCAGTGAGGCTCTGGAGAATGTTAGGCCTTGCTCCACACTGGGGCATTTGTGGGCCACTGATCCACCTGCAGGAACAGTAGCAGCAGCAAGAACAGGGGTAAGGACTTTTAGCTCCCTATGCTCCACATGTTGGCATTAGGAGGCCACACTCTGCAACCTCACCTGCTACCCTTGGCCACAACATGCATATCTATGGCAGTAGGTGGCCAGTGACACCACATTTATTTAATCCATTTATTGTATTATCTATATGTCTGTTTTTGTGCCAGTACCATTTGTTAATGGACACTTAAAGATTGCTTCCAAATCTTGGCTATTGTTAATAGTCTGAATAAACATGGGAGTTCAGATATCTCTTCCATATACTAATTTCCTTTCTTTTGTGTATATACTTAGTAGCAATGAGATTGCTGGATCATATGGTAGTTCTATTTTTAGTATTTTGCAGAACCTCCAAATGTAGGTTAGGCTGAACTAATTTGCATTCCCACTAACTGTACAAGTGTTCCCTTTTCTTCACATTCTCTCTAGCATTTGTTATTGCCCGTCTTTTGGATAAAGGACATTTTAACTGGGATGAGATGATATCTCATTGTAGTTTTGATTTGCCTTTCTCTGATGATCAATGATGTTGAGCACTGTTTCATATGCCTGTTTGCCATTTGTATGTCTTGTTTCGAGAAATGTCCATTCAGGTAGTTTGCCATTTTTTAATAACATTATTCAATTTTTTCTTATAGACTTGGTTGAGTTCCTTATATATTCTGGTTATTAATCCCTTGTCAGATGGATAGTTTGCAAATATTTTATCCCATTGTATGGGTTGGCTCTTGAAAGTGTTGATTGTTTCTTTGCCATGCAAAAACTCCTTAACTTGATGTGTTCTTATTCATCTTTGCTTTGAATGCCCGTGCTTGTGCAGTACTACTCAAGAAATCTTTGCACAGTCCAATGTTCTGGAGAGTTTGCCCCAAGTTTTACTTTAGTAGTTTTAGAGTTTGAGGTCTTAGATTTAAGTACTTAGTCCATTTTTGAATTAATTATTGCATATGGCAAGAGATAGGGGCCTAGTTTTATTCTTCTGCATATATTTACTTTCCTCAGCACTATTTATTGAAGAAAGAGTCTTTTCCCAAATGTACGTTGTTGGCACTTTTGTCAAAAATGACTTTACAGTAGATACATAGATTTGTTTCTGGGTTATTTATTCTGTTCCATTTGTCTATGTGTCTATTTTTATGCCAGTGCAATGCTGTTTTGGTTATTATAGCTTTATAGCATAATTTGAAGTCATGTAATATGACTGCAAGTTTTGTTTTGCTTACTTAGGATAGCCTTGGCTATTTTGGTATTTTGTAGGTCCATATAAATTTTAGGATTTTTTTTTCATTTATGTAAAGAATGTCATTGGTATTTTGATAGGGATTGCATTGAATCTGTAGATTACTTTAGGTAGTATGAACATTTCTTCCAACCCATAAACATGGAATATCTTTTTTTTTGTCCTGTTCAATTTCTTTCATCAGTGTTTTATAGTTTTCATTGTAAAGATTGTTCACATCTTTGGTTAATTCCTAGGTATTTATTTTATTTGTATCTATTGTAAATGAGATTACAATGTGATTATATCCCTAGACTTGACAACAATATCATGATTCATAAAATAAATAAGCTAGATCTTATAAAAATAAAAACATTTCTTCCACAAAAGAGCCTCTGCAAAAGATGAAAATGCAAGTCACAGAATAGAAGTGTAATTTGAAAACCACATACAGGACAAAGGACTAGTATTTAAACTGTTTAAAGAGCTCTCACATCTTAACATTAAATTAATAACAAATCAGAAAATGGGCTGAAGACAAACACAGCATTTTGCAGAAGAGTGTATGTGTTTGGCTAACATGCACATAAAAAGTATTCAACAATATTAGCCATTTTTTCAAACTCAATTTTAAAACTTTGAAGTTATCCTTTATTTTTTTTCACCTCACAACTCACATCTCATTAGCTAGTGATCGGCTCTATTAAAAATATTTCTTTAACTGCTGCATCACCCCCTCCAGTACCAAACCCATTCCCAAGACGTCAACATCCCTGACCCTAACCAATCTCTTTACCTTTTATCTACATTTCTGTTAACACTCATTTACTGTTGTGACTTTACCTTCGTTATAAAGTCTATTCTCCAAAACAACTTGTGTGATGTTATGTTGTGCATATCATGTCACTGTCTTGATCTAGATCCTTCAGTGGCTCCTTGTAATGTTAGATTAATGCTTTGTGAAACCACACACAAACGCACACAAACACAAATATTCCTTTAAAAAAACCTGCCAGGCTGGGCACAGTGGCTCACACCTGTAATCCCAGCACTTTGGGAGGCTGAGGTGGGAGGATCACGAGGTCAGGAGATTGAGACCACCTTGGCTAACACAGTAAAACCCCGTCTCTACCAGAAATACAAAAAAGTAGCCAGCCGTGGTGGCACGCACCTGTAGTCCCAGCTACCTGGGAGGCTGTGGCAGGAGAATCCCTTGAACCCGGGAGGTGGAGGTTGCAGTGAGCTGAGATTGTGCCATTGCACTCCAGTCTGGGCAACAGAGCGAGACTCCATCTCAAAAAAACAAACAAAAAAACAAAAAACCAACCAACAACAACAAAAACAAAACAAAACAAACAAGCAAACACCTGCCAAAGTTATTGCTAGAGTCTTCTTCGTCATAAGGATCTCTTCTCTATGCTAGTCACCATAGATGTGCTACTTCTATTTCTTCCTTGAAAATGCCTATATAAACCAAGGTCAGTAGGTACTTTAAAGACTTTAGCAAGGTCTTTATAACATTATATGTTATAAATGTGAACACACTATTTTTTTTCTCCTCTTGGTACAGTAAAGGTTGTTGATTCTCTCTACTAGTTACCTTCAATGTTTTCAGTTCTCAATTGGTGCCCTAGGCCAGTCCACTATGATTGGTGACTGGTTTACTTCAATAAACACACACACACACACACACACACACATGCACACACACAAAGAAAATGCCAAACTTACTTTCACCTCAAAGTTTTTGTGCTTGCTGCCAATTATCATGAAGTGCTTTCCCCATAGATATGCACAGATTAATTTTTAAACATCACTTTCTCAAAGAACATACTATGTTTTTTGTTAGAAACACATGGCCTTCTCCAGACATCCCTTACTTGCCATTTATTTTGATTTGTTTTTCTCCATAGCACTGTTACTTGAAATTGTACTGTTTACTTTTCCCTCTCTCTCTCTTTTTTTTTTTTTTTTTGAGATAGGGCCCTGCTGTGTCACCAAGGCTGGAATACAGTGGTTCAACTACAGCTCACTGCAACCTTGAACTCCTCGACTAAAACAATCCTCCCAATTCAGTCTCTCAAGTAGTTGGGCCCAAGTAGCTGGGACTACAAGCGTGGGCCACCATGCCCACCTAACAGTTTTAATTTTTTGTAGAGATATGGTGTCAGTATGTTGCCCAGGCTGCTCTCAAATTCCTGGCCTCAAGTGATCTTTGTATCTCAGCCTCCCAAAGTACTAGGAATACAGGCGTGAGCCACCATAACCAGCCCCTATTTTTCCCCTTTTATTTTATTCTCTTAAGAATTTAAGCTACATGTGTCAAACCCATGTAACTCTAAAATAAAAAATGTGACTGATATAGCAGGTAATCAGCAAATATATTTGAATTAATACATAAATGAATAATCTAGTTTAATAATGTTAATAAAATATTCAAATATATAGTACATATGATCAAAAAATAAACCACACACAAAAGACTAAAATGTAAAAACTATAAATTTTCAAAATATGAAACATCATGTGATAATACTGTATACCAATATAAGCTGAATTTTTAAAAAGACAGTTTTATATTGGAAAATCTGTGTTGCAGCAAGTGACTATTCTCATTTGAAATGAAGTAATTAAATTATTAGTCTCTACATCATGACACAGACAATATCAAATTTAGGATGGGTTAATCTTCTGCAAAATATCGTTATAATTTTTTCAGAAAGGAATGGAAATAAAATTGGAAAATCTTTTATAGTCACATGTGTACTACATTCTGAAGATACTGCTTTACTCTAAAAGAGCAATAACCTCTAAAAGAGCAGTCAACATTAGAGTCTCTACTTGATTAAGTTATTATAATCTGGATTCATTTTCTAAAACCCATCAGTTTTTCACACTTGCCAAACTGGTAATTGAAAGGAGATGGAGTAGAAATCAACCCACACAATTCTCACTTATTTTTTATGATGACACTGATTAATGAGATTTCTCTGGAGAATCAGTATTGCTTTTGAATACTCCAAACTAATGTGAGAATTAGATCCATTGTTAAACATGTGCATGACAAATATAAAACCAAATTCTTTCTAAATAACTTTGGATCATTTCAGGGATTTATTTGATATAAGCTAAAGTTAAATTTGATCCAAATTCATGTTTTCATATGATTCTGTATCTTCTCTAGTCTGAATGAGAGACTGTAATTTTAACTGTCCAGAAATCATTAGCTTGATTGAACTGCACAGTACTCCATGATGTTTTTCCATTTCCATTTGTCTGGACACAGCGTAGCAACAAAATATTTCTTTATGCACCTGAGTTGAATACTAGGGGAAGGTTCAGAGGGTTCTCTTGTATTTCAATGATACACAATTTTTGTTCCTGGAGAGATTATCCACAGGTGTTTTAATTTTAAGGATAATTTTATTTTAATTTTTATTTTATTATTATTTTTTGAGATGGAGTCTCTCTCTGTTGTTCAGGCTGCAGTGCAGTGGTGCAATCTGGGCTCACTGCAATCTCCACCTCCTGAGTTCAAGTGATTCTCCTGCCTCAGCCTCCTGAGTAGGTGCGATTACAGGTGTGCGCCATCATGCCCAGCTAATATTTGTATTTTTAGTAGAGACAGGGTTTTGCCATATTGGCTAGGCTGTTCTCGCACTCCTGATCTCAGGTGATCCTCCCACCTCAGCCTCCCAAAGTGCTGGGATTACAGGCATGAGCCACTGCAACCAGCCAAAAGATAATTTTATTCAATTCAAAAATCTGTTAAAGAAAATGTTTAAATATTTCAGTGTTGACCAAAATTTGATATAATTTTCTTAACTTACATTAAAATTAAATAATATTAATTCATACATTTGAATGATATTTCTAAAGTTTTATGTTGCAATGTAAATGCAACATAAATATTAACACTGTTTAAAATTATTACTAAGGCTACACCTCAAATAGTTATAAAACTACCAAAATTATTTATTTAGTACATCTGCATTTATTTTTAATATTTACCTGGAGATATTTCTTTACTCCTAGCTGGCTTAATGAAAGTAAGTTAAAAAGAAAAATAAATTACCATCTCCTGCCTAGGCAAAGTTGCATAGCATAATTTAATTGAGGTCTCATTATGGTAGAGGGCTTGGTGACTGCTCTCAGGTTATTTAAGTCTTGATCACTGTATGTAAGTCGGAACATCAACTTATAAGGTAAAAAGAACTTGTTATACAAGTAAAAATTTTCAGTCTACCACTGATAATTATTCTGATTTATTTTTGCTTATGCAATTCAAGTAAGACATTGTCAGGCTGTCTACAAATTTTGTTTCTTGGAACTACATGATTAGTTATCTATAGTGGAAAAGATCTGTGTTTTAAGGCTACTCACTAAAATCAAATTACATGCCATGATTGCTGTCTATTTTAATGACTTTATTTCTTGCCATAAGTACTAGCACTATTTAGCTAAACTTGACCCCTTTCAATCCCATTGAGAATATGGATATTATTTCCATTTTACTTCTTTATGTCATAATTCCCCATGTACTAAAAATAAGTGTTTGTTTGTTTGAAGATTCCTGTGCCATTATAATCAATTAATTTCATGGTCATGAACTTTGGACCTTGTTCAGTAAAGTAAGATAGAGGTAAGGTAGCATTTTTTTTTTCATTTTTATTTCAAGTTTCAGGGTACATATGCAGGATGTGCAGGTTTGTTACGTAGGTAAATTTCCATGGTGGTTTGCTGCAGCTATTAGCCGATCAACTAGGTATTAAGCCCAGAATGCACTAGCTATTTTTCTTAATGTTCTCTCTCTCCTGTTCCCACCCCCATAAAAGGCCCCAGTGTGTGTCGTTTCCCTCCCTGTGTCCATGTGTACTCATTGCTCAGCTCCCACTTATAAGTGAGAACATGTGTTTGATTTTCTGTTCCTGCATCAGTTTGCTAAGGGCTTCCAGCTTCATCAGTGTCCCTGCAAAAGACATGATCTCATTCATTTTTATGGCTGCATAGTATTCCATGGTGTATATGTATAAGATAGCATTTCTATCTCGTGGTGTCTTTGAATTAATTCCTTTACATTATGTCAAGATTTTCCTATTATTTTTATATTTTCCATCAGAAACCAGCACTTGATGCATGGTCTTACTAGACAAATCATTAAAGGATTAAAGCCAAAATTAGATGTCAAAATAGCACAATGCACTTCAAATGCAGTTCAAGATTATATTCTGATATTCTGTACTCTTAGTTTGGGAATCCCCTCAAAAACCATGCATATATATTTGCAAAAATATTAATTATTGCAGTTTTTCTCTTCATTACTTTTTTCCCTGGAATGTATTTGCCACATACTTAGTTACTAAGATGAAAAAAAGTAATCTGGAGCATGATGGAGAGTTTACAGCATTCCGTTCAAAGGTACCTCAGGTTTCTCAAGAACGAAAATCACAACAGAAAACATCCTGTTGTGATTTATATGTTTTCAAATATTTCAAATCTTTCCAAATATCATTATTCCAGTGTTGAAATTTTACCTTTATTGTTGAATATCTTTTTGGTTTTTTTGTTTGTGTGTTTGTTTTTCGAGACAGGGTCTTGCTCTATCGCTCAGGATGGATTGCAGTGACATGATCATAGCTCTCTGCAGCCTCAAACTTCCGGGCTCAATACATCCTCCCACCTCAGCCTCCCAAGTAGTGGGTCTACAGGCTTGTGCCACACATGCAGCTAATTTCATTTTTAATTTTCTGTAGAGATGAGGTCTGACTATGTTGCCCATGCTGGTCTCAAATTCCTGGGCTCAAGCAATCCTCCCGCCTAGGCCTCCCAAAGTGACGGAATCACAGGTATGAGCCACCAGTCCCAGCCTACTGTTGAATGTTTTAACTTTCACATATAAATCTAGAAACAATGATAATCCAAATAGTGTGGCAATTATGAAACAGAATTATTTTCCCATTTTGCTTTCCGACCTTATATCTGAATGTTTTCTCCACCCCCCGCTTTTTTTTGTTTTCAAAAAAGTGACACATATAGGCCCAGTTTTAAGTATATGCTTCAGTAAAAAATTCTGCAATGTAAATGTGTTTATAAATATTTGTGAGGTACACAAAGCTAGAAATATCAATATGCCAAAATAATCAAATAAATATTTGGACCTTAATCTCTACAGCTATGTTTAAGGTCATTTTCATACTGTGAAAGGAATTGTCTTGCAGAAAAATTTTATTTTACTTCATTTGATAATGTGGAAAGATTCTTTAATATTTTATCTCAATTTCTGTTCTTCTCTCGTTAAGTTCTTCTTTTATGGCATGGAATGCAACTGTCTCAAAAAACTGAAGGGAAATGTAACACATTCATAGGTAGCTACAGCAGTTGCTTGAATTGAAGCAATTGATAAATGGCTATAATAGTTCAAAAAAATAAGATTGGTCTATAAAATATTGTAATCAGACTGTGAACATTAAAAGTTTGACAAACCTGTAGGCTGAATCATAGTTAATGTACTCATCTCTATGTAAATGTATTATCTATAATACATCATGAATTAACCTAAACATAGGTTACTGAGGCATCTGGATTGGCATATGATTCAGACAGTCAAAGGCAAATAAGGACCAGTGTCCTGAAAGAGGACTAGAGACAGATTCATGAAGCGGAGCATTTGAACTTGAACTTTACACCAGTGATTTAAAACAGTGTTTTGCTTAGAATTTGGATTACCTATGCTTTGACATATTCATCCATCTTAAACAACTGCTTAGTAAGTTGAATATCTATTCTCAGTGCAGGTTTAAATCTTATTATCTAAATCCATTTGTTAAAATAGCCTTTCTAGTGCCATTAAAGAAAGGCACCTGAATAAATTGAACCTGAATGTCAGTAATTGTCCACATATTGATGAAATATATTATCCATATTAGGTAAACATTTTCTTTACACAATTTTATCTGGTAAAATAATATCACAGTCAGAAACCATTAATTTTTTTTCTTTAGCTTACTTGAATCATGAAAAATGGTTATTTGCATTACAATTTCAACCTTTCAAAATATACAGGTTATAAATGTCAACTTCATATAGATAATTATTTCTCCTGGGGATGTGAGTGAATGATTGTTTCCATTTTTGATGTCTTGATATTTCAGTTTTGAGGCATGTGTGACTGATAATCACCTTCAATATAGGGGACAGTGATTTAATGTATGCAATAATGATATGATCTAAAACCCAAGTGAAACGCTTGAGACATGGTAGCAGTTAGGAAAAACATTTATGGAGTACAGAGGGCAACATATAAATTCTGTTAGGAAAGGCTCTCTTTAGGAAGAGTAGAGGTTCTTCTTACCAGAATAGCAGGCCGATTTATGGTTGAAGTGTATCAAAATGTGAGACCTGGGACAGGAGAAAGTGTATCAAAATGTGATACCTGGGACAGGAGACACAAGTATTACAGTGGTGATGAATTAGAAAACATGTACTATTTGGAATTTAGATGCTAAGTGTTTTCTTTATAATATTCTTGCTTGTTGTTAAAATCAGCTCACAAATAGGTAATCGTTATTAAGTTTCGTTACGTATTCTATCAGGTTTAACAAGCACTACTATATGTGTTTTGTCAAGAGCCACATCAACAATTTTTAATCAATGCATAACAACTTGACATTTTCTAAAGCTCTCAGAGTTCCTATCCAATTCTGTAATATGTTTTTATTCAAAATCTCTGGTATCTCTTTAGATTGTTAAATACAAGAGTTTTACTTTATATATGCACAGTTTAAACATAACTAAGTTAAAATGCACATGTTGCATCAACACAAAAGTACAAATTGTAAATTCAGTATTGATTACGATATATGTTTAATAGTTAATTACATCTGAAATTAGAGCCTTCACTATCTCTGTCCTCACTGAAGGACAGATTGATAATGTTTCCATTAGATATATAAATGCATATGTGTATATGATACTAACAGCAATATTATAACAGGTAACATAGATGCTCACCCAAGAATTTTACTTAAAATAATCTATTTAGTCCTGTGATGTTGGTAATTATTTCCACTTTAAGGATAAGACACCTAAGGTACTGACAGCTTGTATAATGTACTTGTATTTGGTTGAATTGTGTCCACCAAAAAGATATGTTGAAGCCCTCACACCCAGTACCTCAGAATGTAGACTTATTTGGAAATAGAGTCATTGCAGATGCAATTCACTCAGTTATAATGAGGTCACCTTGAAGTAGGTGGGCCTTAATTCAATATGACTGATATCCTTATATGAAGAGGGGGATTTGAACAGAGCTACATGGGGAGAATGCAATTTGATGCAGAGATAGAAATTGGATTGATGCTGCTGCAAGCCAAGAAATGGCAAAGATTCATGGCCATACCAGAAGCTAGGAAGAGCTGGGGAAAGATTCTACTCAGAATCTCAGAGCAAATATTTCCTTATGGACACCTGGGTTTCAGAATTCTAACCTCCAGAACAATGAGAAAATAAATTTCTATTTTTTAAAGCAATTCCGTTTATGGTACTTTGTTAATAGTAGCCCTAGGAAGCAAATAGTGTCCCATTTCACAGAGCTAGTGTGTGTCAAGAACTGTGAAGGGTCTGATACTTTAGCCTGCTTGCAAGCTAATAAGTTAGTCTAACAGTTTTATAATGTCAGTAAAAGACATTACACTTCTGGGTCAGAGACAAAGAAGTTTACTTATGGCAGAGCATGCCATGTAAAACTCAGTGGGTGTTTTAAAATTCCTCTTGCCTGTGAGTCCAGTGGGCGAAACATGTATGGGCCAACATGGATGCTGCACATGCATGGTTTGTATAACAGGAGATGAACCCTATGCTTAGGCAACCCAAATATTATACGGAGTAAGTATCTTTGCCCTTTGCTCCTGCAGGAGACAATATCTCTAATGTTTCAAGGCAGTTTGCATATCTGCCCTTTATTTTGAAAGAAGACAAGAACTGGGGTTTTAACCTAGAGTATCTGGTTCTTGAATATATGCTTTAGTTATTATGCTTACTATATATTCACATGTTTTACTTATATGAGAAAATACAAGCAGTAAGAAATCTCTCTCCATCTCTATCTCCCAATCACATGCACAGACACATGTATATCTATATATACACATATGATATATACATATACATTATATATGAATGTTTTTACATACACATACATGTATAATATATACATTATATAACTGTATGTCTGTATGTGTATGCTCATGTGTGTATTTACAGATATTTATCAGCTTTGAACATACATAAAATAAGAGATGACAGTGTAAATTTCTCTGCAACATCTTTAAATGGCTCTTTTGGGGTCTCTCTCTCTCTCTTTCTCTCTTCCATACTCCATGGGTGTATGTGTTTCTGTTTGTGTTTGTGTGTGTGTATGTGTATGCACAAATCAACAGTCACGGTATTTTTAAGACATAAATTTAAAATAGCACAATGTTGTGTATGTATTGCTTTTTTTGGTCTCAAAACAGCACACTTCAAAAGTTAACCTGTTAAAAAGCAAAAAAAAAAAAAAAAAAAAAAAGTCTCATGAAAATACTAGCCATTGTTTTCCAAAGTGTCTGCACTACTTAACACCCTCACCAGCAATGTATAAGAAATCTAGTGGCTCTGTGTCCTCTGCAACAGTTAGCATTGTTAATCTTTGAACGTCAGTGGCTTCACTTGTGAAGTTAAATTTTAAAAGATTGACAATGCTAGTAATATGTATATGTATGTAACCTGTGTAACTTCCAGTGAAGAATTTTTTTTATTGTGAATAATCACAGACTTTGAAAACTATTTAAACATGTTATTTTCCTGAATAAAACCACTTTTCAGTATTCATCTTTATGATTGGAACTTTCCATCATAGTCCAGATGTTTTGCATTTTCATACTGGTTCTCAACAGGGTTGTTGGGGAGGGTTTGTTACTTTAGAAGACATTTAACTATATCTGGAGATAGTATGGGCTGTAACAAAGTGGGGGTTATGCTTCTGGCATCTGCTACTTAGAAGCTAAGAACGATTTTTCTCTAACATGTAGTCAAAAATGTTACTTGAATGATTATTTGTATTTAATGTTAAATTATTGAATTTAATGTTAAGTTGTCACACAAAACAGAAAAGCTGTTAAAGAAAAATATTGTCTCCATTTTTCCTTTTCTGTCCCCTCTACTTACCCTTATGCTGAGACCTAAGAGTGGTGGCATAGCAGACAATGACTATATATCAAATTAATTAATCCATTATAAATATACTTTGCAGTACAACTGCTAATACAGAACAAGAAATTATCAGGATTTTTATTTAAGGTAGAGTTAATTTGTGCTGACTAGATGTAAAGCCTTAAGGAATTCATTGTGAAGGTGAAGGAAAAGACATATGATTTGCTTATTTTAAAAATCAGGTTGTTTGTTTTATTATTCTTGAGTTATTTGAGTTGATTGATTATTAACCCTTTATCAGATGTATAGCTTCCAGATTTTGCTCATTTTACAGATTGTCTCTTCACTCTGTTAGTTGTTTCTTCTTCTGTGCAGAAGCTTTTTGGTTTGATGTAATCCCATTTGTCTATTTTTTGCTTACGCTTTTGAGGTCTTATCCAGAAAATCCTTGCTCAAACAAATGTCATGGAGCCTTTCTCCTATCTTTTTTTCTTGTAGTTTTATAGTTTCTGGTCTTATATTTAAGTCTTTGATTCATTTTGAGTTGAGTTTTAGATATGATAAGTATGGTAAGTATAAGGGACTTATTTCATTATTCTGAATGTGAATGTCTATTTTTCTCTAAAACCACTTTGAAGAAGGTGTTCTTTCCTCAGTGTGTGTTCTTAACATACTTGTTGAAATTCAGATGGCTGTGAAAAGACCTTAATAGATATTTTTTTCAAAAGAAGACATACAAATACATGCAAATGGTCAACAGGTATATGAAAACATGCTCAGTGTCACTAACATCAGGAAAATGCAAATCAAAACGACAGTGGGATATCACCTCATTCCAGTTAGAATGGCTATTATCAGAAAGACAAAAGATAGCAAGTGCAGATGAGAAGGATGTAGGGATAAGGTAACACACAGTGCTCGTAGGAATGTACATTTGTGCAGGTACTATTGAAAACAATATGGAAGTTCCTCAAAAAATTAGAAATAGAACTAACATGTGATACATATCATATCCCACCTCTGGGTATATATCCAAAGGAAATAAAACCAGTATTTCAAAGAGATATCTGCACTCCCATGTTTATTGCAGAACTTTTTGCAGTATCCAAGATATGGAATCAACCTAAATATTTATCAGCTAAAATGTAGGATACATAGAAAATGAAATACTATATAGCCATTTAGAAAGAAGAATAATCTGTCTTTTGCAACAACATGGATGAACCTTGAGGACATTATGTTAAATGAAATAAACCAGGCCAATAAAAAACAAAAAGACAAATGTCATATGATCTCATTCACATGTGGAATCTATAAAAGTCGATCGCCTAAAAATAGAAAGCAGAATAGTGGTTGCCAGGAGCAGATGAAGAGAGATTGGCCAATGAAAAACATAATTTCAGTTAGGAGAAATAAATTCAAGAGAGCTATTGCTCAGTAGGGTGACTATAGTTAATGGATATATATTGTATTCTTTAAAAATGCAGAGTGGATGCTGAGTGCTCTCACTACAAAAATGTTAACTGTGGGTAATGCATTCATTATTTAGTTAGAGGTAACCATTCCACAATGTGCATGTACCTGGAAACATAATGTTTTACCTAATAAGCATATGAAATGTTATTTGTCAAATTTTTAAAAAAGAAAAAGGTGAAGAAAAACCGTGCTCAGTATGCTATTAATATAAATTTTATGCTAGTGCCTTCACTTACATTATCACTTATATTTTGAAAATTATTTCTTGTTCTCTGTGAAAGCCATTATAACCAAAAATGTTCAGATGACAAAACTGGAGTTTAGAGATATTAAATAACTTGTAATAACTAATAACTTATATAACTTAGTTAAATATAAATGAAACTAATAACGTCTATAACTTATTAGTTATAGACGTTATTAGTTATTAACTTGTAGTGAACAACTAACTTGTAATAACTAAAGTTACAGCACTTGAGGCAGTGCAGCAACAATTTAACAAAAGACAATGTAAACTAAAATATAGTATTAATATTTAAGAATATAATGTTTGATGTAGGAGACAGAAAGTATAAATTTGAAAGGGAATATTTTTTCCATACTTAATAAATAATGAAAAATTATGTATTCATCAACTTCTGTCAATTAAATAATTTTGAATTTACATAATAAAAAACATAACATTTAGTAAGAGAAAGACAAATAATATTAAATATTTAGCAGACTTATGTAGCTGGGATAGTTTATACTCAGTAGTAGTAAAGATAAAATAAAAACGACTAGTTTCTATAATTTGAATAACTTTATTAAAAATGTGTATAAGTCTCCAAATCTCATTAACAAATAAAGAAGAAAAATAGATTGAGAAACATATTTGAGCCATAGTTTATACATAGACATAATTTTGCCGTAAGTGGCAAACATTAATCTTTTCACTTAATAATTTAATGAATTTGTGACATGACAGTATTAAAACTTTAATACAGTAATATAAGTAGGTAAAATAAAAAATAACAAAAGATGTTGTCTACTAGGTAGATAAAAAGCTCTTAAAAATGTATGTTTGTCATGTTATGAATAATAAATATAGATTTTTAAACTAGAATATTAATTGCCAAATTTGAGGCAATATCAAGTTTGTCCTTGTTTTACAAAATAATTATCAAAAATATTTGGACACATTTTTCAAGATATTAATATAAATACATTTTCTAAAAAAGATAAAAAATAAAAGGCTCTTCGAAGTTAGATTCATCCCATACTGTGACAATTCCCTATTTGACAATGGCATTCTAAGTAAGTGTAATCTTTGATTTGATAAGGACTGACTGATTTTGAGCAAAGGCAGAATAAGCTATAATTTCTATCACTCTATTTGTCTGTCTGTCTCTCTCAGGCCCACTCTCTTGTTTTTAGCTACTATCTTTTTTATTTTTTTGAGACAGAGTCTTGCTTTATTGTTCAGGCTGGAGTGTAGTGGTGTGACCTCGGCTCACTGCAATCTCTGTCTCCCAGGTTCAAGAAATTCTCCTGACTCAGCCTCCTGAGTAGCTGGGATTACAGGTGCCGCCACCACACCCAGCTAATTTTTGTACTTTTAGTAGAGGTGGGGTTTTACCATGTTGACCGGTGTCTCGAACTCCTGACCTCAAGTGATCCACCCAACTCAGCCTCCTGAAGTGCTGGGATTACAGGCATTAGCCACCACACCTGGCCTATTTTTAGCAATTAGCTTTTTAATGCCATGCGGAAGATACCTTTAAATCATTTAAAAATTATATTAGTGTCTTAGACTCTGAGCTTATTTATCTAAAGTTTTCACAACTTTTACTGAACAGAACAAAGCTGGAATGCCAGACCTGTCTGACTTCCAAGCTTGCATTCTTAGGAAGTGTAATAATGTCTGCCTAACAGATAAATTGTATATGTCAATGATGAAACAGAGAGATAATTTAAATATTAGACGTAGGAAGATAAACCACAGCAAAATCTCATAAATTTTGCGGAACATCTAGGGAGATGTGGATCATTTTTTGTGCAATTTCATAAATGTAACTATAGACTGCATACTTGATATCTACTCTCATTTTTCTGTCTGTCTTTCATAATTAACTCTTTAACACGTTTGACCATGATCAAGCGATCACAGTAGCCAACCACTTACCCACTTACTGGGCTTGAACAAATACAGTCAGGCTTCTAACCTTAGAGGCAATCGGCTTTGGATTTCAACAAGCTTAGAAAAGCACTAAGGTCTTGCTGTTTTGTCTTATGATGTTGCACATATGAATGCTTCTATTACATTGACTTGTATTGTTTTTAACAAAGCATTAGTGGGCTCAAAATCTTATATTTTCTAATTATAAAAATCCAGATTAATCCAGAAAACATAAACCACACGTAACTGAGCTAGGTTTCTAACCTTAAGAATACATTGTTTCTACCATAATTTTTAAAACTTAAAAATTATTAAGGCAGGCCGGGCGCGGTGGCTCATGCCTGTAATCCTAGCATTTTGGGGGGCCAAGGCAGGTGGATCACCTGAGGTCAGAAGTTTGAGACAAGCCTGGCCAACATAGTAAAACCCCATCCCTACTAAAAATACAAAAATTAGCCGGGCGTGGTGGTGGGCACCTGTAATCTCAGCTACTCAGGAGGCTGAGGCAAGAGAATCGCTTGAATCCAGGGGGCAGATGTTGCAGTGAGCTGAGATGGCACCACTGCACTCCAGCCTGGGGAACAGAGTGAGACTCTGTCTCAAAAAATAAAAATTATAAAGGCAAAAGAAATATCATATAGCTTCATGTACCTTCCTAATACTTAATTTTCTACATTTTAAACTACTTGATCAACTGTGACACTGCTCATCTACTATGCTTAGTAAATCCCCTAGGTTATTTAGAAATGCATACGTCAAAGCCTTTCCCTTCCCCTGTAATGGTAACATTTGTAGTTCTATTAAACTAAAAGCATAATACAAATAATCATTTTAAATGTACTAAGGTGTAAAACATTCCCAGTTAACAGCTTATTCTGAGAATAAGCCATTATGGAGAAATACATTTCCTGTTGAAAAGATCTGATTTTGCCACCTGCCCAGGCCACCTGCTTTTCCTGCATTCCACAGTATACCTGCTAGTCTGACTCTCTTCTCCCTGTTTAACACGAATCTTTTTCTTTTTGATTTAAAGATGCCTGCAGATCGTGAGGTCAGAGCATTCTCCCTATTGCAATGATCTTTTGTTAAAACATACTTTTATATTTATTTTATTTTTACTTGATGAATAATAATTGCATATATTTATACTGTGATGCTTGATTTATGCCTGCATTGTGGGATGATTAAATCGAGCCAATTAACATACGCATCTATATATTGCAATGGTCTTTTTGAAAAAGTCTCTGCATATTAAGTCCAGATTTGTTTATGTTTGACAAGAATTTGGACTTTTCACAAATGTCAAGCATTTTTCCAAGCATTATCCTCTTTCACTTTACTGAGAACTATAAAACACGGGTCTTTATAAATAGTAGAAAAAATATTTTTATAGATGATTGTATTTATAGATGTATATGTGTGTATGTTTGTGTTTCGATAGCAATAGAGATAGAGATATAGAGATAAGGATAGAGTTTTTGAAAATATCTAACTAAAAGTTGAAGTCAATATCCCTTATTTTATTCATCTATTTATTTTACCTTGCAAAGCATCAGTGAGTTTCCTAAGCTCCATAGCAGTGTAGGAAATAGAAAAACACTAGTTTAGTAAGAAATACATTACTTGAAAACAACTTGACATTTTCCAAAGCTCTCAATACTCTTAGATTCATTTTAATTCAAGATTCCTGTACTTTCTCAGAGTGGATAACGTGATAGTCATATAATAGTAATTTAAAGATGTAGAAACACATTTTTTATGTCAGTCATGTATATAACTATTAGAATATTACAGTAAATGACAATTTCTGGGAAGAAACAAAACTTGCTCAAATAAAAATATACAGTAAAATAATCCTTATCCATCAAAGTTTTCTAAATATAAACATATTCAAATGCATAGTTAGATAACAAGTGCAAATTTAAGACTGAAAAGTATTTAAGTTTAAAGCATTACTTTTCTATGAAAATAGCTTGATATATTTGTGTTTATTATAATACATTATATCATTCACAAAATTGTCTTATTAAGAGCATACTCATTGAGATGTAATTCACATGCCATAAAAGTCATTATTTTCAGTTTACTCTTCAGTTGTTTTTAGTATCTTCATAGAGTTGTACAGTCATTACCACTTCCTAATTTTAGAATGTCTTCCTAGCCCCATATAGAAATTCTATACCTTCAGTAATCACTTCCTTGCCCCCATCCCTTACAACCACTTTCAGTTATTATGGATTTGCCTATTAGTTGCATTTATGTAAATTTCATTTAGTATTTGGTTTTTGCTATAACTGACTACTTTCAATTATTATAGTTTTCAAAATTTGTGTTGTAATTGATTTTTGTACATTCATCTTGTACACTGCAAAATTTTTAACTCATTTATTACTTGTAATAATATATTTTAATAGATTTTATAATATTTTCTCTATCCAAAACATGTCATCTACAAATAGGGACTGATTTACTTCTTTATTTTTCATCTGCATGCCTTTATCTCTTTTTCTTCCCTAACTGTCCTTACTGCCAGTACAATGTTTATTAGAAATGGTGGAAGCCAACCTTCTTGCCTTGTTTCTAGTTTTATGGGGAAAGCTTTATGTCTTTCACCATGGGGAAAGCTTTATGTCTTTCATCATTAAGTACATTAGTTAATAGATTTTTCAAACATGCTCTTTCTTGGGTTGAAAAATTTCTCTTCCATTTTTAGCTTGTTATTGTTCTTATGATTAAAAAAATAAGATGTGCTTTGTCAAGTGTTGGTCTATTGTGACAATCGTGTGTTATTTAATTATATATATGCATTATGTGACATCAATTAATTTTCATTGGTTGAACCAACCTTGCATTCAAAAGATAAATCCCAATTAATCATAATATATATTTTTATATTTTTACTACTTAAGTTCGTTGATATTGTGTTGAGGATTTTTTGTCTCCATATTCATTAAGGATTTCAATCTGTAGTTTTTCTTCCTGTGATATCTTAGTTTAGGTTTGTACCAGGGTAACGTGTCCTCATAAGGTGAGAAGTGTTCCCTCCATTTCCATCTTTTGAAAATTTTTGTAAAGAATGATGCTAATATTTCTTTAAATATTTGGTAGAATTCACAAGTGAATCCATCTGGACCTGAACTTTTCTTTCTGAGAATTTATTATCATTACTACTATTTCAACATCTTTACTTGTAATAAATTTATTGTGGTTTTCTATTTCTTCTTTTTTATTTTTTGATACATAATATCTGTATGTATTTATGGGGTACATGCAATATTTTGTTGCATTCAGAATGTGTAATTATCAAGTCAGATTATTTAGAGTACACATTACCTCGAGTATTTATCATTTCTGTATGTTGGGAACATTTCAAGTCCTCTCTTCTAGGTATTCTGAAATATTCAATGCATTGTTGTTAAATATAATTACCCTACTTTGCTATCAAACATTGGAACTTATTCCTCCTATATGTTTGTACCCATTAACCAGACTCTCTTTATCCCTCATCCCCATTCCCACACCCTTCTCTGTCTCTGCTATCCATCATTCTACTCTATACCTCCATGAGATTAACTTTTAAAACTTCCAACCATGAATAAAAAGATAAAACATTTGTCTTAATTCAATGAACATAATGGCCTCAATTTTGATTCATATTGCAGAAAAATACATGATTACATTCTTTTATGGCTGAATAGTTTTCCTTACATGTACATACTGCATCTTCTCTATCCATCTGTCCATTGGCTGACACTTGGGTTGATTCCAAATCATTTCTGCTGTGAATAGTGCTGCACTAAACATAGAAATCAAGTCTCTTTTGATATACTAATTCCTTTTACTTTGAGTAAATATCCAGTAGTAGGATGGCTGAATCATAATAGTTGTAGTTTTAGTTTTTTTACAAATCTCCATACTATTCTCCATAGTGGCTGTAATAATTCACATTCTCACCAACAGTATAAGAGTGTAAAAAATCCCTTTTCTCTGTATCTTGCCAGTATCTGTTACTTTTTGTCTTTCAATAATAGTCATTCTAACTGGAGTACAAAGATATCTCATTGTGGTTTTGATTTATTTGCATTTTGCTGATGATTAGTAATGTTGAACATTTTTTTCATATGTTGGACATTTGTGTGTATCCTTTTGAGAAATGACTATTCATGTATTTTTCCCACTTTATAATGGTATTATGTATTTTATTCTGCCGAGTTGTTTGAGTTCCTTGTATATTATAGATATTTGCCTTTGTCAGATCAATAGTTTGCAAATAGTTTATCCTATTCAATAGGTTGTCTCCTCACTGTTGATTGTTTCCTTTGCTGTGCAGCTTTTTAGTTTAATAAAGTCCCATTTGTCTACTTTTGTTTGTGTTGCTTGTGCTTGAGAGGTCTTAGTCATAAAAATCTTTGCTAAGACCAATGTTCTGAAGTGTTTTCCTTAGGTTTTCTTCTAATAGTTTTATAGTTTCAGGTTTTATATTGAAGTATTTAATTTATCCTGAGATGATTTTTTGTATATAGTGAGAAGGTATATAGGGGTTTGTTTTCTGTATAGGGATTTGGTTTTATTCTTCTGCCTATTCATATTCAATTTTTTCAGCAGCATTTATTGAAAAAGTTTATCAATGTATGTTCTTGGAACTGTTGTCAAAAATAGGTTGGCTGTAAAAACGTAGATTTACTTCTGGTTTCTTCATTTTATTTTTTAGGTCGATGTGACTGTTTCTATAGTAATGTTATGATGTTATGATTACTATAGAGTTTTAATATGGTTTAAGTCAGATAATGTGATGCCTCTAGCTTTGCTCTTTTTCCTCAGTATTTCTTTGGCTATTGAAGCTCACTATTTTGAATAGAAGTGGTGTAAGTTGGCATCTTTGTCTTGACACAGTTCCTAGATGAAAAGCTTTCAGCTTTTCTCCATTCAGTATGATGTTAGTTGTTGGTTTATCATAAGTGGTCTTTATTATGTTAAAGTGTGTTCCTTCTATGCCTAGCTATTGACAATCTTTTTCTCATGAAGGGATGTTGAATTTTATTTTATTTTATTATTTGTTTCCTTCAAACTTTTATTTTAAGTTCAGAGAGTACATTTGCCGGTTTGTTGCATGAGTAAATTGTGTCTTGCTTGAGTTTGATGTCCAAATGATTTCATCATCCAGGTAGTAAGTATAGTATCCGATGGGTAGTTTTTCAATCCTCATCTTTCTCCATCCCTCCACCCTCAAGTAGGCCTCAGTGTCTATTGTTCCCCTCTTTGTGTCCATGTGAATTCAAAGTTTAGCACCCACATATAAGTGAGAACATTCCGTATTTGGTGGTGTGTTCCACTATTAATGCACTTAGGATAATGGCCTCCAGCTGTACCCTGTTGCTTCATAGGGCCTGATTTCATTATTTTTTATGGTTGCATAGTATTCCATGGTGTATATGTACCACATTTACTTTATCTAGTCCACCATTGATGGGGATGTAGGTTCATGACATGTCTTTACTATTGTGAAAAGTGCTGCAGTGAACATACACATGCATGTGTCTTTATGGTAGAATTATTTATTTCTTTTGAGTATATACCTAGTAATGGGATAGCAGGGATGAATGGTAGTTCTGTTTTAAGGTATCTGACAAATCTTCAAACTGCTTCCTATGGTAGATGAACTAATTTACATTCCCACCAACAGTGTATAAGCATTCCCTTTTCTCTGCAACTTCACCAACATCTGTAATTTTTTTTACTCTTTAATCATAGCCATTCTGACTGGTTTAAGATGGTATCTCATTGTGGTTTCAATTTGCATTTCTCTGATGATTAGTGATGTGGAGCGTCTTTTCATATGTTTGTTGGCTACTTGTATGTCTTCCTTTAAGAAGTGTCTGTTCATGTCCCTTTTCTGTTTTTTAATGGGGTTATTTGGTTTTTGCTTGTGGATATGTTTAAGTTTCTTGTAGATTCTGGATATTAGACCTTTGTTGGGTAGTTTGCATTTTCTCCCATTCTGTAGGTTGTCAGTTTACTCTGTGATAATTTATTCAGCTATGCAGAAACCCTTTAGTTCAATTAGTTCTCACTTGTCAGTTTTTGCTTCTGTTCCAATTGCTTTTGGTATCTTTGTTATGAAATCTTTACCAATGCCCCTGTCCAGAATGGAATTACCTAGGTTTTCTTCCAGGGTTTTTTATAGTTTTAAGTTTAAGTGTTTAATCCATCTTGAGTTGATTTTGTATATGGTGAAAGGGAGGAGTCTGGTTTCAATCTTCTGCATATGGCTAGCCAGTTATCCCATCACCATTTATTGAATAGTGCTAAATCAAGGTTAATCCAAAGCTGCCTCCTTAAATATTTTAAGTTCAGCTTAAAAGTTTCTCTGTACATAATAAAGTATAATCTAAATAGAGGTATAAATAGAATGTAACTTACTCTTGTGCCAATCACCAAGTTTTGCTCAATCAAAGGGGGCCAACTGTTCAAACCATGTTCAAATAAGTTAGATGCTGATTTTTTTGTAACCAATCTAGCTGTTTCTGTATCTCACGTCTGTTTTCTGTATGTCACTTTTCTTTTTCTGTCTATAAATCTTATTCAACCATGTGGCTGCCCTGGAGTCTCTCTCAGCCTACTCTGGCTCAAGAGTTTGCCCTATTCACGTTAACATTCTTTGCTCAATTAAACTATGTTAAATTTAATTTGGCTAAGGATTTTCTTTTAACAATAGTGAGTCCTTTACTGATTGCTTGTTTTTGTTAACATTGTCGAAGATCAGATGACTGTAGGTTTCTGACTTCATTTCTGAATTCTCTAACCTGTTCCTTTGGTCTATAAGTCTGTTTTGTTTGTTTGTTTTGTTTTGTTTTGGTTGTTGCTTTTTGTTTGTTTGTTTTTACCAGCAAAATACTATTTGGTTACTGTAGTCTTGTATAGTTTGAAGTCAGGTAGTGTGATGTCTCTGGCTTGTTTGTTTGTTTTGCTTAGAATTGCTTTGGTTATTTGGGCTTCTTTTTGGTTCCATATGAATTTTAGAATAGTTTTTTTTTCTAATTCTGTGAAAAATGACATTGGTAGTTTGATAGAAATAGCATTGAATCTGTACATTGCTTTAGACATATGGCCGGTTTAGCAATATTGTTTCTTCCTATCCATGAGCGTGGAATGCTTTTTCATTTGTTTGTGGTGTCATCTCTGATTTCTTTCAACAGTGTTTTGTAAATCGCATTGTAGAAATCTTTCACCTCTCTTGTTAGCTGTATTTGTAGGTATTTTATTTCTGTTGTGGCTGTTGTGAATGAGATTGCATTCTTGATGTGGTTCTCAGCTTGCCGTTATTGTATAGAAATGCTACTGATTTCTTACACTGGTTTTGTACTCCGAAACTTTACTAAAGTTGTTTACCTTTTCTAGGAGCAGAAACAATGGTCTTATGTATATAGAATCATATCATCTGTGAAGAGAGATAGTCTAACTTCCTCTCTTCCTATTTAGATGCACTTTATTTCTTTCTCTTGCCTGATTGCTTTGGTCAGGACTTCCAGTACTGCGCTGAATAGGAGTGGTGAGAGTGGGCATCCTTGTCTTCTGGTTCTCGAGGGGAATGCTTCCAGCTTTTGCCTATTCACTATGAGGTTGGCTGTGGGTTTCTCATAGATAGCTCTTATTTGTTTGAGGTATGTTCCTTCAGTGCCTAGTTTGGTGAGGGTTTTTAATGGGAAGGGATTTTGAATTTTATCAAAAGTCATTTCTGCATCTATTGAGATGATCATTGGGTTTTGTTTTTAGCTCTGTTTATGTGATGAATCACATTTGTTTATTTGCATATGTTGTAACAATCTTGCACCCCAGGGATAAAGCCTGCTTGATCATGTTGCATTCACTTTTTGATGTGCTGCTGGATTTGATTTGCTAGTGTTGAGGATTTTTGCGTCTATATTTATCAGTGATATTGGCCTGAAGTTTTCTTTTTGCATTGCCCTCTTCCTCAATTATTTTGTCATAGTTTCAATGGATTGGTGCCAACTCTTCTTTATATGTCTGGTAGAATTCACCTGTGAATCAGTCTGATACAGGGCTTTAAATTTTATCAAGTGATTTTTCTGCATCTATTGAGATAATCCTAGGATTATGGTCCTTCATTCTGTGGATTTGATATATCACATTTACTGATTTGTGCATCCCTCCATCCTTGCACCCCTGGTATAAATCTCACTTTCTCATGTTGAATTATCTTTTTGATATGCTGTTGGATTCAGTTTGCTAGTATGTTTTTGAGGATATTTGCATCTATGTTCATTAAGGATATTGGCATGTAGTTGTCTTTTTTTGTTGTTGCATCCTTGTCCAATTTGGTATCAGGGTAATGCTTGCCTTGTAATATGAGTTAGGAAGAATTCCCCCCTTTTCAATGTTTTGGAATAATTTAAGGAGACTTGGTGTTTGTTCTCTGCACTTTTGTTAAATTTTGGCAGGGAAGCCCTAAGGCCTTGGAATTCTCTTTTGTTGGGAGAATTTTTGTTACTGATTCAATTTCATTACTTGCTAATGGTTGTTAAGGTTTTCTGTTTCTTCCTGATTCAAACTTGGTAATTTGTATGTGTCTAGGAATTTATCCATGTCCTCTAGATTTTCCAGTTGGTTATTGTATAATTATTCACAATAGTATCTAGTGATCTTTAACATTTCTGTGGTATCAGATGTAATGTCTTCTATTTCATTTCTAATTTTATTTTTTTCTTTTTTCTTTTTTTTGGTTAGCTTTGTTTATCTTTTTAAAAACAACTTTTCGTTTCATTGGTGCTTTGCATTGACTTTATAATCTCAATTTCATTGAGTTATGCTCTGATCTTTTTTTCCTGTTTTAATTTTTTTTTTAATTTTTATAGATTTAGGGTGTACAAGTGCCATTTTGTAACTCAGATATATTGCATAGTGGGGAAGTATGGTTTTTTGTCTAACCATAACATGAATAGTGTACTTTGTACTCATTATTTTTTTTTCATCTCACAGACCCCTCAACCCTCCCACCTTTCCAAATCTCCATTGTGTATTATTCCACCTTCAATGTACAGGTGTACACATTATCTAACTCCCACTGATGCGTGACAATATGTGGCATTTGACTTTCTGTTTCTGAGTTGTTTCACTTAAGAAAATGGCCTTCAGTTACATCCACGCTGCTGCAAAATACATGATTCCATTCATTTTTATGGCTGAATAGTATCTCATGGTGTGTGTGCGCGCGCACGTGTTTGCGCACATGCACACAGACATGCACATATAAACACAACATTTTAATTGAATCTTCTGTTGATGGATACTTAGCTGAATTCCATATCTTTGCTCTTGTGAACAGTGCTGTTGTGAATACACAGGCACATGTGTCTTTTTGATAAAATGATTTTTTTTTTCTTTGAGTAGTATATCTGACGGGTATTGCTAAATCCAATGTTGTATCGATTTTTTATTCTTTAAGAAATCTGCATACTATTTTTCATAAAGATGGTACTAATTTACATTCCCACCAACAATGTATAAGCATTTCCATTTTTTCACATCCTCATAACTGCCTGTTATTTTTTGTCTTTTTAATAACAAAACATTCTGACTGGTGTGAGATGGTATTTCAGTGTGGTTTTAATTTGCATTTCTCTGATGATTAGTGATGTTGGGCATTTTAAATAAGCTTGTTAGACATTTGTATGTTATCTTTTGTAAAATGTCTGTTCATATCCTTTTTTCCGCTTTTTAGTAGGGTCATTTGTTTTTTGTTGTTGTTGAGTTGTTTGAGTTCCCTGTAGATTCTCAATATTAGTCTCCTGTCAGATTCATAGTTTGCAATTTTTTCTCTCATTCTCCAGTCTGTGTGATCACTCTGTTGATTATTTCTTTTGCTGTTCAGAAGCTTTTTAGTTTAGTCAAGTCTCATTTGTCTATTTTGGTTCATATTGCATTTGTTTACAAGGTCTTAGTCATGAATTATTTGCCTAGGCCAATGTACAGAAGAGTTTTTCCTAGGTTTTCTTATAGTATTCTTATAGTTTCAAGTTGTACATTTAAGTGTTTAATGCATTCTGTGTTAATTTTTGTATATGGTGAGAGATAGGTGTGCAGTTTCATTCTTCTGCATATGGTAATATAATTTTTCCATCGCCATTTATTGAACAGCGTCTTCTTTCCCCATTGTATGTTTTTGTTGGCTTTGTTAAAGATCAGTTGGTTTTAGGTATGTAGCTCTATTTCTGGGTTCTCTATTCTGTTTCATTGATCAATGTTTCTATTTTTATACCAGTACCATTATGTTTTGGTTACTAAAGGTTTGTAGTATAATTGGAAATCAGGTAATGTGATGCCGCCAGCTTTGTTCTTTTTGCTTAGGATTCCTTTGATTTTTATTACTTTTTTTCTTCTTCTAATTTTCAGTTTGGTTGATTCCTGCTTTTCTACTTCTTTGAGGTGCATAGTTAGATTGTTTATTTGGAATTATTCTACCTTTTTGATGTGGGTGTTTATTGCTATAAACTTTCCTCTTAGTACTGCTTTTGCTTTATTCCATAGGTTTTGCTATGTTCTGCTTTGTATTTAAATTATTTCACAAAATTTTTAAATTTTCTCCTTAGTGTCTTCCTAGACCCAGTCGTCATTCAGGAGCATGTTGTTCGATTTTCATATATTTGTACAGTTTTCAAAGTTCTTTTAAATATTGATTTCTACTTTTATTCAACTGTATTGATAAGATTTCAATTTTTATAATTTGTTGAGACATGTCCCAACATATGATCTATCCTGGAGAAAAATATGTATTCTGTAGCTGTTGGATGAAATGTTCTGTAAAAGTCTGTTGGGTCCATTTTGTTCTGAAGTGCAGTTTAAATCTAATGCTTCTTCCATTGTTGGCCTCCTTTGTTACTCACTCTTTCCCTGCACTGGGGAGCCTCTCCAGGCTCCCAGGCTTTCCTGGCCAATCAGGCGGCCTACTTCCTCCCTTTTTCCCTGTTGTCTTAGATGTTTTCTGTGATTTTTCTGTTGAATTCCAGAATTCTCTCTTAGGCAATCTATTTGAAGTATGATTATCTACTCACTATTTTGATTCTTCTTTGTGAAGGAGGTGAGTAGCAGATGCCTCTAGTTAGCCACCTTCTATTTCTTCTTGAGTCCATTTAGTTAGTTTGTGTCTTTCTAGGAATTTGTTCATTTCATCTAGGTTATCTAATTTGTTGGCAAACACTTGTTAATAGTATTAGCTTATAATTGTTTTTTGTAAGACTTGTAGTAATGTTCACCCTCTCATTCCTGATTTTTGTGATTTGAGTTATCGACCTCCTTTCTCTTTCTCTCTCTCTTTCTCTCTCTTTCTCTCTCTCTCTCTCTCTCTCTCTCTCTGTCTCTCTCTCTTCTTTCTTGGTAAATCTAGCTAAGGTTTGTGAATTTTGTTAACATTGCTGACAAACGTTGATTTCCTTAATTTGTTCCCTTTGTTTTTCTATTATCTATTTTATTTCCTCCCTAGTCTTTATTATTTTTCTCCTACTTCCTGTGGGTTTAGTTTTTATTTCTTATATTAGCTTTTTTAAGGTGGAAAACTTGACTATTGGTTTAGTATCATTCTTCTTATTTAACATGGGTGCTTCCAACCATAAGTTTTTCTCTAAGTACTGCTATAGCTGCATCCCATAATTTTGAAATATAGTGTTTTTTGTTTTGTTTTCATTGATCTTAAACTATATATAATTTTCCTTATGCATTCTTCTTTATTTGTTATTTAGGAGTGTGCTGTGTAATTTTCACATATCTGCACATTTCCCAAATTCCATTTTTATTAATCTCGATTTTTCTGTTATTATTTATTTTGCCATATACAGAAGAATAAAACTGGACCTCCTATCTCTCATCAAATACAAAAATCAACTCGAGATGAATCAAATGCTCAAATATAAGGCTTTAAACTTTAAAAATACTAGAAGAACACCTAGAGAAAACTCTTCTCAACATTGGCCTAGGCAAATAATTCATGACAAAGATCTCAAAAGCATAAGCAACAAAACAAAAAATAGACAAATGGGAGTTAATTAAACTAAAAAGCTTCTAAACAGTAAATAATATTAATCATCTTCATCATCATCATCAACAGAGTGAACAGACAACTTGCAGAATGGGAGAAAATGTTTGCAAACTGATGAATTCAACTGGGGGCTAATACCTAGAATTTGCAAGGAATGCAAACAACTCATCAAGAACAATAACAAAAACAAATAACTCCAGTAAAAAGTGTGCAAGGAACATGAACATACTTTTTGCAAAAGAAAACATGCAAGTGGCAAAAGAAACATGTGAAAAAAATGCTCAACATCATTAATCATCAGAGAAATGCAAATTAAAACCACAGTGAAATAGCATCTCACACCAGTCAGAATGGCTATTACTAAAAAGTTGAAAAATAATAGATAGTGAGGATGCCGAGAAAAGGGAATGCTTGTGCACTATTGGTAGAAATGTAAATTAGTAAAACCTCTATGAAAAACAGTATGGAGATTATTCTAAGGATTAAAAACAGAACTACCATTTGATGTAGCAATCCCACTACTAATTATATATACAAAACAAAATGAATCATGAAAATGAAAAGATACCTGCACACATATGTTTATCACAGCACTGTCTACAATAGCCAAGATATAGAATCCACTTAAGTGCCCATCAACAGATGATTGTATTAAAAATGTGGTGTGTGTAAATATATATAATGGAATACTATTCATAAAACATAATGGAATCATGTCTTTTCTAGCAGCATAAATGGAACTGGAGTCTAGTATATTAAGTAAAACCATGCAGAAAGAGTAAGTCCAAACTCACATGTACTTATAAGATGGAGCTAAATGATGTGTACACCTGATAGTAGAGTAACAGTTACTGGAGACTGGGAAGGGTAGGAAGATAAAAGAGGGTGAGGGATGAGAAATTACTTAATGGGTATGATATACACTATTTGGGTGATAATTACACTAAAAACCCTAGTTTTCACCACCACACATTATATCTATGTAAAAAAACTTCACTTTTACCTCTCGCATTCATAGAAATTTTGAGATTTTGCTCCACCAATGTGCAACATTGCCTTGGCATATTTTCCAAACCAGATCATATGTCTAGATTCTAAGATTTCTTTTCAAATTATATGGAAGGTAGAACTCATTAAATTTTGTAATACATAGTGTTAGTCATCTATACCTTTCCAGTCAACAATATAACTTGATCTCAGTGTATTCCATTTTATTACACATAAATGTAAATTTATCTACTTCATTCTTTTAAAAATCTATATAAATCCCTTTCTGCAGAAGCTTTATAATTTATCAAAACCGCCCTTCAAAAATATGACACAATAACAGTCATGTGACAATTCTAATCTTAATGTAGTTTACTGGAGCCAAAACATGATTTTTTTTTTCTTACAACTATTTGATAGTAAGTAGGATGCCTATTCTCTTCTTTATTTCTCAGTTTTTTTGACCCGTGAACATGTTAGAAAACATTTTTACTTTTATCCTTGGACTGCCTCAAAAAGAAACCAACCCAGCATTCTCACACAAATCTCATGTTTACTAAAAGTTGCCAACTGATAGTGAATGACTTCCAAACATAAATATTGAGAAAAAATTCAATATGTAATCTTTCACAATTAACCTTGAACTTGTAGGTCACTAATAAATTATTTGAAATACATGTATCTCACATCTACCGAGAGATTTCTGAGAATTGACACATCCTGCAACACTGTAATAGAAAATACTGTTTTCCTAGGATTACCTTTGCCATTAGGAAGAGTGCTTTATTTTTTCAGTCATTTTACACAGAAAAGAGAGAATTACCATGTCATTTCTGTGAAATATTGGCAGTGTATAACTTAGGATTAGTTCAACTGCAAGTAAAAAGCAGAAAACAAAACAAATAATAGCAATATGAAAGCAAAAAGAAACAAAGCCAGAACAAAACTACATAAGAATAACACGAATAAAATATGGTATTTTCTTCGGTTGTTTACTCAAATACCATCAGATAGCCTGTTCAGTGGACTGATCCACATCTTCACATTTTTGTTCCCTTGAGTGTTCTGATTGGTCATTCTGCTTTTCCGTTTCTTCTTAGCCTAGGTTTTAGGTATTTCTGATTTTATCACTTGTCGCAGCATCCTAAAACTTGCATTAATCTTCTATATTTAGAACATGTGTGTGTTCATGTCAGAAACATTTATAAAACTATTTGCCTTCACTATCCATGCAGGATTTTGTGCTGTGTTTCTATGAATTGATTCCTCATAAGTTCAGAGACACTAACCATAAACGGTCACTGAACAATGCTCTGAAACACTGCAACATTTTCCTATTCCATTCGTCTCTCTACAGTCGTTTTTAAAATCAATTTCAGTCTTGATAAAACTTGGTAACCCCAATTTCTTCCTTATTTTCAGTCGAAGAAATTGCATCCTACTACATAATCAAATAAAAAACATTGGATTGACAGCCACTTCTGCTTTACGTCCCAAATACCTGGAACCTGGGTCCATCATGGTTTTGTGGGGGTTTTTTGTTGTTGTTGCCGTTGTTTTTATTTTACTTCTTTTATGTTGGTGGCAGTGGCTGCTGCCATCACGCTACATGGCTGGGGCTCCACACTACATGGACTCTGTGGAAGCCCCTCCCCTTCTGAGATGGGATGGGAGCCACGAACCGCAGCTGCAGACCCAGGCCTCCTGCTCTACCCAGCAGAAGGAAGCCCTAACCTCCTGGGCGGGGCTACAGCCACCCAAACTGCAGCTTTGGATCTGAGCTTCCTTGTGCTCTTGTGGGGGCCAGGAACAGGCAGGATCTGCCCTCCCAGGGCATCTTGCAGCTGCAGACCTGGGCCTCTGACTCACTAGGAGCTGGGGACAAGCGGGAATCCCGCCCCTTCCGAGTTGGCAGGGCGGGAACTCCTGCGTTCAGCTGCAGCCCTTTAATCTCAAGAGCAGGGTTGGAGCCAAGCCCTGGGGCCATGAATGGCAGCGGGAGGCAAAGTCCTGGGTGGGGATCCTGGTGCCTCTTCCTGTCCTGCCCATGGCCACCCGTACACCAATCAGCATGCACTTCCTCCCCTCTGAGGTCCATAAAAGTCCTGGGATCAGCCAGTGCAGGGCAGAGGATGGACAGAGGACAAAGAGGGCAAAGAGATGTCGGTGAGAGGTGACAGCGTGCTGGCAGCCCTCACAGCCCTCGCTTGCTCTCAGCACCTCCTCTGCCTGGGATCCCACTTTGGCGGCACTTGAGGAGCCCTTCAGCCCGCCGCTGCACTGTGGGAGCCCCTTTCTGGGCTGGCCAAGGCTGAAGCCTGCTCCCTCAGCTTGCAGGGAGATGTGAAGGGAGAGGCGCCAGCGGCAACCGGGGCTGCGTGGGGCGCTTGCGGGCCAGCTGGAATTCCGGGTGGGTGTGGGCTTGGCGGGCTCCACACTCGGAGCAGCTGGCTGGCCCTGTCGGCCCTGGGCAATAAGGAGCTTAGCACCTGGGCCAGCGGCTGCGGAGGGTGTACTGGGTCCCCCAGCAGTGCCGGCCCACCGGCGCAGCGCTCGATTTCTCGGGGGGCCTTAGCTGCCTTCCCGAGGGGCAGGGCTCGGGACTTGCAGCCCGCCATGCCTGAGCCTCCCCCCAGCCCCTCCGTGGGCTCCTGTGCAGCCCGAGCCTCCCTGATGAGCGCCGCCCCCTGCTCCACGGCGCCCAGTCCCGTTGACCACCCAAGGGCTGAGGAGTGTGGGTACACCGCACGGGACTAGCAGGCAGCTCCACCTGCAGCCCCAGTGTGAGATCCACTGGGTGAGGCCAGCTGGGCTCCTGAGTCTAGTGGGAACTTGGAGAACCTTTATGTCTAGCTAAGGGATTGTAAATACACCAATCGGCACTCTGTATCTAGCTCAGGGTTTGTGAACACACCAATCAGCACCCTGTGTCTAGCTCAGGGTTTGTGAATGCACCAGTGGGCACTCTGTATCTAGCTACTCTGGTGGGGACTTGGAGAACCTTTGTGTCTAGCTCAGGGATTGTAAACGCACCAATCAATGGCCTGTCAAAACAGACCACTAGGCTCTCTGTAAAATGGAACAATCAGCAGGATGTGGGTGGGGCCAGATAACAGAATAAAAGCAGGCTGCCGAGCTAGGAGTGGCAATCCGCTCAGGTCCCCTTCCACACTGTGGAAGCTTTGTTTTTTCGCTCTTTGCAATAAATCTTGCTGTTGCTCACTCTTTGGGTCCACACTGCTTTATGAGCTGTAACACTCACCGAGAAGGTCTGCAGCTTCACTCCTGAGCCAGTGAGACCAAGAAGACACCAGAAGGAAGGAACTCCGAACACATCCGAACATCAGAAGGAACAAACTCTGGACACGCCGACTTTAAGAACTGTAACACTCACCGTGAGGGTCCGCGGCTTCATTCTTGAAGTCAGTGAGACCAAGAACCCACCAATTCCGGACACACTGAGATAGGATGATCAGCTGCAGAAAAGAGTACCCTCTCAGCCTAGAGCTGCAGAGAGGACCCACCGGTAGAGCAGAGCTACCCTCTTTGCTGAGAGCTTCAGAGACCTGCAAAGAGGTGGGAAAGACTTGCCTGCAGAGAGGAGCCATTCTTTCCAGGGCCACCTCTTTGCTGATAGCTGAACACACTAGACAAGATGACCTACCAGTAGAGAGGAGCTACCCACTTCTCTGGGCTGTCTAATAAAACTCTTCTTCTTCACCTTCCAGTTGTCTGTGTACCTCATTCTTCCTGGACACAGAACAAGAATTTGGACAAAGGCACCATGGCCACAGAGGTTTCTGGCCAGAAAAATTGACACCCCAGCGATTCAGTAATAATAATATTGAAGAGGTAAACCACTTTCTGCATATTCTCATGTTATTCACTCACAATTTTATAGATTTTTCATTTTTTTCTTTTTTTTTGTATTTTCAACAACTCGCTCTGTTTTTCCTTCCTGTCCAACCTTTTTCAGTAGATGAAATACAGACACAAAACCTTCTCAAATGTCATCGTAGTCTCCCAACGTCTTTATATATTTAATTCTTTTCATGATACATCAAAAGAGCTTCTGATCTGACCGTCTGCATTTCTACACCCACCACTTGCACCTTACTGAACTCATTTATGGTTTCAAAGCATACTGCATGTTAAAACTATTTCTATTTCTGTCTCTAATGTCTTGCTATGTCAGAAAATTCTATGTCTTTTTTTAAAAAATCCTGATCATTTTGGAGAAAACTGTTGACACTGCTGAGCACACTTCTCCGCAAAATAGCCTTAACCCTAGCTTTCTAAAAACACCATCTATTAGATTCCATTTGTATTTGCTGGCTGCTTCTCATTTAGCATTGCTTCCTTCTCCCCTACCAAATCCATAAATGAGGGAAATTACCAGGGTTGCATCTCATATGCTCTTATCTTCTTACATCCTAGTTGATTTCAGTGATTCTAGTGGTTGCAATTATCTTGATGATTCCCAAAGATATAATCATTGTCATTTCTCCTAATTTTTGGAAAAATGCAAGTATTTGCAAGATGATTTCACTTTTATACCTCTTAGGCACCTCAAATCTACCACAGTAAACTGAGCTCACAATTAACCTTCATTGCATCAAAAAGAAAATAAAAACAAAAAACTCGTTTTTTCCCACTGTTCACTATATTTCTAAGTAGCATTACCTCTCAAGTTACTCAAGTCAAAAATCTGAAATATTTTACTGCCATATACCTTTACTCTTTATATTCAGTCAATCACTACATCTTTCCAATACCACATTTTAATTACCTACTCTGTACACTTCTTTGCATTTACAGTAGCTATTTTTCCTTTGTCCCTGTACACTATTGCTTCAGCTTAGTCTTCTTTAAACTCTTAGCATCTTCTGTGTACAGTCTTATTTAAGCACTTAGTATATTCTGACAGTCTTCTTTCTTGGGCCAGGGAACTGATAAACTCAATCATTTGTCTGACCTTACATCAACTATCACTTCTTCATGTTCTTCTATCGTAGGGGATAGTCCCATGTCATATCATCAAGAGTACTCTATACTTTATTTTTTACAACATATGTTCCATTTTTTGTTGTTGTTATAAATTTCTAAAAAAAACCATAAGTCCGTAAACTACCCTATATTTTTGTACACAAAACACATCAAAATAAGGATTCAATTTATATAGATTTCTTGATCTTTTGCAAAAAATCCTTTCAAGAAAATTCAAAAAGTTGGTTCCTATAACAATGCTGCATCAAGCATCTTGTGCATATCTTGTTCCACATATGTTGAGAAAATATTTATGTGCATTTTTTCTAATTTTGACACATCGTAAATATTGCAAAATAAAAGATGTGTACATTTCCATTAAGAATTGTATGAGAATGCTTGGGTTACCAAACTATAGGCATTATTTTGTAAATCTGATAGAAGAAAATGAACTTTCAGCATTGTCTTAGTTGGAATGTCTACTCCTCAGTGTAAGTAGTCTCAAAATAGTTTGTTAATTGAACATAAATACTTCTTGGTAAATTTATTTTCCTGGAAATTTTCCCATTGCATTTTTGGCATTGTTGAATTAATGGGATTTATTGTTGTTTCAAGAATAATTGTAATTGCTGATTTGAAAGTGGTGCTGTGGCCAAAAATGCCATGTGTCTCAATTAATTTGAAGAATTATTTCAGAAATAATGGACAGTGTATACATAAAAACTGAAATATATTTTAGCTATAATTATTTATAAATAGTGCTTATTAACACATTTAATAATGCATGCAACCATTACAGTTTACAAAGTAGTAAGTATTATTAATTTCATTTGTAAATCCTAATTATATTACCAAATAAATTAGTGAGTTTTAATAGCATAATTATGTGAATAAAAATCCATTATATGCCCCAAATCAGTACAAAAATGAACATTCTTATTAACGTTAATAAAATTCCAAAGAAATTCATAATTTTAAATTAATCTGATAGTTTTTAGACTATATCTAACTTCAAATGGAAAAAATATGTAAAAAAACAAAACAAAAACGAAACAGCATGATTTGTTGTCTCACGTAATAATATCCTAGAATCAAAACTCTACGAAGATTGATTTACCCTTTATCTTTTATGTGTACAAAACTTTCAAATCTGGATAGCTGTCACGACTGTGATTAGGATTGAACATTGGCTCTTTTCACAGAACATTGGGCAGATTAGAAAGTAAAATAGAAATTTCTGACAGCCATGACTTGAATGTAGCCATCCTGTTCATTTTTTTTCCATTATTTACTCTTGTTATATTTCTTAATTGATGTTAAAAACAAATACAAATTTGTAATTTTCTTTACAGGGTGGTTAACATATTATATTTTTTGCAATAATGGAGTAATTTATCTTCACACTGAGATGAAAATCTATACAAAATATAAATAATAATAACCCTGTCCTGCATGACTTTAAAGTATAATTTATTTCTATGTTATTAGTTATTATAACACAAGAAATATCCTGGGTAAGATATTGGCTAACTAATACATAAATATAATTTAAAAAGTGATTTTATTTTTGTAATATATTCTAGGTTATTACAAATTATTAGGTTTACATCTTGTGCCACTAACTGTTGAATATGCCATTTAAAAAATATTTTCTCTGTTAGTTTAAAAATATATTAATATCTGCTTCTCTATGACTAAGCATGTATATGAGATATGCCTTAAAAGTAATTGGCAATCTAAACTTAAATTTCAAGGTTTAAATTGTTTCAAATTGAATTAATAGAATACACAAGTAGCAGGAACTAATATACATAATTTGTATATAAAATAGGGACTTATTTATAGCCAGTGCAGCAAAAATATATTGAAATAAATTTAATATATTTGGGTGGAAAGAATAGGAGTTTTGACATATTTGCTTCACTGTACAGTACCTATATACATTCTTATTCACTTTTTTCTGTTTGTGTGTGCATGTGTCTAATTTATCCTTCTTGGCAAGTACTATATTTTATGTCACTTTTTACTTAGTTGGTTTTGAGACAAGGTCTCACTCTGTTGCCCAGACTGAGTGCAGTGGCATGATCCTGCCACACTGCCACCTCAACCTCTTGGGCTCAAGTGATCCTCACACCTCAGCCTCCGAAGTAGCTGGAACTACAGGCATGTGTCACCACACGCAGCGAATTTTTTATCTTTTGTAGAGACAAAATCTTGCTCTGTTGTGCAGGCTTATCTCTAACTCCTGGATTCAAGGAGTCCTCCTGCCTCAACCTCACAAAATGCTGGGATTACAGGCATGAGCCACTACACCTGGGTCACTTATTATTTTTGAAAGCAATTAGCACAAGGTATAAAGTATGCACCAGATGTCTGTATGTTTAGCTTCCAAAGACAAATATGCCACTGTTATAGATCTTATTACAAATTGTGTGTGCATAGAGATAGCAATGAATAACAAATAACATTTGTTTGCTATTCAGTAATGTCTTGTGTTTCCACATGGTGGGATAATCTGCACACCTATGTAACCTTAAAATGGTATAATATTTAAAGAAATTGATAAATGCTTATAATAAAATTTGTGTAAAAGTTTTGTACTACAGCAGGTATAAATACAGATATATGCATTGGTAGAAATATAAATATATAACATTATAGAAACATAAGAACTGATTTGAATGTCCCTGTTGAACTAGTGAATCTGAAAATAAAATAAATAAAACTAGTAAATGCTAGAATAACTTGTGGGTATAATTAGTATGCTCTCCTTTATTTTCATAAGTTGAAATATAATTGAAAGTATTACTGTAAGTGACAAATAATAATATGTTAATAAAAGGACAAATACTATCGTGGGATGAAGCACTCTGCTATGGATTTTGGCTCATAGGTAAAAAGTTGGCATCTTTGTCATGTATGTATCTTGGATAAAATATGTCTATCTTCCGTCATTCCATCTATCCATTACTCCACTGATTTCTCAGATATCAGTCAATTCAACCAAATACAATAAAGACTTTATTAAAAAAGAGAGACATATCCACACATATATGTCAAATAACATATTCCTTTGGCCTTTTTCATATAATATTTCTATCTGTGTACAAATCTATTTATCTGCCTGCCTTTCTGTCCCTATTATCGTTCCCAATGGGCCCTTCAAATCTATGCAGCAACCTTTATTAATGAAGCATTTTTTTGGAGCCAAACTAATTAATATGTTGAAGATCCCTTTATGTTTGCCCAGAGTGGGCAGGGAGGCAAATGCAAAATAATGTTTTAGAAAGATTATTTGGGCACTGACAAAAAAAGAAGACTAAGAGGTGAGAGATTACTAAATGTGAGGTGTGGGGTTGATTATAAATGGAGTAATATGGTTTTCCCATGTGGAATGTAAAAAATCTCAGCGAGTAAATATGATTATGCATTTTGCATAAAATAAAAATATAACAAGCAAATGATGATTTCATACAGATTGTAGCCTTTTATTAGAATCATATTGTAATCATGGATCATTTACTTAAATAATTTGTACATCAATTTTTTAAATGTTAAATTCAAGGATCTGTATTTATTTGAAAATCATTCATCTGGTTTGGAAGATAGTTTTCCATTCTCTCCTGTACTCTTGCTATAGCCTCTAAATATAGCTTCTTTAGTATTCCTTTTCCCACAAGCAGTCTTAGAATTTAAAATATACACTGAACCTTGTCTCATCCCTACATAAAACTTTCTTCATGTTTTCTAAAAGAAAATGTAAAAATCATGAGCATAGGAATATGAACATAATAAGAAAAATAATTATGCTAAAATTACCTCAAATAAATAAATAAATGCTTTTTGGCTCTTTCTTTGGGTGAGACACTTTACAAAGTCATTTACACATGATAGCAAACTTAATCCACTAAACCACAGTTCACTAAATAGTAGCTTCCAGTTAGCAAGGAAGGTACAGAAGTTAATTCCCAAAGATAGTATTTGAGAAGTTCAAAGGAATACTTGGATTTTCTGATGTCAAAGTGGAGTGTGGGATGAGAAATTACCTAGTGAGTACAATGTACACCATTTGAGTGATGGATAAACTAATAGCCCAGACTTCATCATTACACAATATATCCATGTAACCTTTGTTAAAGTTAGTCATTCTGAAACATCCTTTGACCTTTTATTTTTCTCATGAACTCCCTACTTATTTCCTACATGCTGTAACTGTACACTGAAAGCATAGAATAAAAATGCTATCTTCTGGTGACGATAGACACTGGAGAGTACTAGAGGCAGGAGGAAGAGATGAGGGCAAGTGTGGAAAAACTGTTGGCTATGATGCTCAGTAGAGAGGGGATCATTTGTAACCCAAATCTCAGTATCACACAATTTTTTTACCCAGGCAAAAAAAAATAAAAAAAAAATCTGCACATTGCACATATACTCCCTAAATCTAGAGTAAAAGTTGAAAAAGAAAAAAAAATCCTACCTTTTATTATTAGTGTGTGCCCATATGTGTGCGTGCCTTCTCTTCTCAAGTAAGTTAACTTACCACAAACATATGGTTGTTTGTCCAATGTCTGGCAGAGTTTATAGATGAAGAAGGTATTTAATAAACCCTTACTCAATTAACTTACAGTTTAAAGATTTATATTCAAAGGTATTATTAGCTAATTACTATGGAAGTCATTAAAAATCCTAATGTGAAAGAAGACACAGTTAATTACTTACAAAGAATATATAATCATATAATATGTATTAACCATTCTCAGTGCTAATGTTTCCCCACTGGTAGTTTACAAATATCCAAATACCATGGCAGTTGTCTTTTGTCAATAAATGAAATGCATATTTCAACCTTTTAATGTTATGTCAGGACAGATGGGGGGCCAACCAGCATATGAAAATTAAGCAAGTAGAGAAATTAACAGAGAAATTCATTCAATAATTCATTCAATTATTTTATCATACTGTGGAACATCACTAGGTATTATGCTGCTTTGACATTTTTATTCTATATGGTATTTTATTAAATATAAAATGTATATGTCAACAAGTATTAAAATAATAATTGTGCTATTCCCCTAAATATTTATCTGGTGTCTTAAGTTATATGTGTATTTATATGTCTGTATTTATAAATCAGTATTTATATCATTACATAAAAAATATATAGGAGAGTGTAAATTTTAAATATCAGCTTGGTTAGGCCATATGATGCCCAGATATCTAGTTAAACATTTTTTCTGAATGTTTCTGAGAGGGTGTTTCTGGACAAGGTTAGCATTTGAGTACATGGATGGAGGAAACAGGCGGTCTCCCCAGTACAGATACACATCATTCAATCCCTTGAGGGTCTGAATAGAAGAAAAAGGTGGAGGAAGGTTGAATTTACTCTCTACCTTAAATCTTGAGCTAAGATATGGATCTTTTTTTGCCCTTGGTGCTCCTGGTTCTTTGGCCTTTGAATTGGAATCTACACCATCAGTTCTCAGCCTCTTAGGCCTTAGAAGTACATCACTGGCTTTCCTGGGTTCCCAAGGGGCAGATAGCAGAATGTAAGAATTCTCAGTCTCCAAGATTACATAAGCTAGTATCTTATAATAAATTATTTTCTAGAATACACACACACACACACACACACATATATTCTAGTGTTCTATAAATTCACATGATGGATGTAAACCTGTTATCAGTATGTTAATTTTCTTTTATATTTTATTTTTAATCTAACTAGTATCATGAAATAAAACATAAGTGAAATTAGTTGACACTGACACACATGGATGGAGAATTCTTGTTGCAGTTTTCTCAAGCCAAATACTTTTTGGTCTTAAGTATGTATCCCAATTTCATTAATACTTCCCAATATCCTCACCTCATTTCAGGTATAATGCCTGAAATGATGACAGGCATTAAGATTGAATACTGTGAGCCTTAAAAGCTTTTTTGTCTTCAGAGAATTTGTATTTGCAAGCAAACGTCCTTAGGAGAGTGACTCTGAAACACTCCAGTTTGATGGATTCCTCAGGGTTATGTGGTGTACTTACATCAAGCCCTCCTTCCTCCCAAAATTACAACATATTTTATACCATTTGTTTATGTGTTGAGCAATGTAAGTGTGTTTGAGAAACTAAAGTATACATTTATTATATACATATAGTAAAGTCGTGGACTTAACGATAACGGTCATTCCTAAGAAGGGACTATGGTGTCAAACTGTAATTAAATAGTAGTCAGTCAGGCAAAAATTATTTCTTTCCAAACTTTGCCTGACCATATGGGCAATCATATATAATCAACAAAGGGAATTTACAAATTATAAAAAGAGAAACCAGTGGTTTCATTTATTTTAGAAATGAGAAATATAGAAGTGATCATTTTGTAGGCATGTGCTAATCTACAGTATTGTGACCACCATTTAGGAAAACTCATTGATTTACAAAATTGAACAGTGGACATCATAAATGGGACAACTGAGACCCTAAAATTACATTGTAACAGATCCTCCCAAGCTTGCAAGTTAAGTATAAAAAGTATGTGTTGTGCTCACAGGCCTTTTTTATTTGTGACAAGGAATTTTAATGATCCTAGTTTGATTACTGCCTTTGATGCTCAACTATCCTACAAATAACTCTCTTGGGAAATAAGATATTGGATAACTGGAAACAACATCCCCTCACCCATAGACAATTGCTTGTGTGATCAGTGACTCTGAAACACTCCAGTTTGACGGATTCCTCAGGGTTACGTGGTGTACTTACATCAAGCCCTCCTTCCTCCCAGAATCACTATATATTTTTATACCATTTATTTATGTGTTGAGCAATGTAAGTGTGTTTGAAAAACTAAAGTTGACTAAACTTAGGAACTAAATGAAAAGTTAAATTTTGATTATAAACTGACACTAACATCAAAAGAGAAATATGCTGCTGTGTTACCTGTGAGTACATGACTTGTAAATAGGCATTTTATAAGATTATAGCATACTTGGCCAACTGACTAGGAAATATTATCTTTTCTACTTTTCATCTTCAAATAGGCATTCCTTTGGTAATTCAGCAGCTTACATTTTACAACTGGAAGATTAACATGTAGTTAAGTAATAAGTGAGTACCTTGCTACTATCAGTGTAATCCATGAACCAGCAACATTGACATCCCATTGGAATTAGCAAGAAATGCAGAATCCTAAGCCCCACCCCAGATCTACTAAATAAAAGTCTACATTTTAACAAAATTCTTAGGTAATCTATGTGTTCACTAATGTTTGATAAATATTATTCTAGTAAGAAGAGTGAGAATTAGCAATAACTGCTATCTCCTTTGTGATTTTAGTGAGGCTTCTTCAGCTGCCTCTTGAAAAACAAAACAAAACACTTCCCTCCACAAAGAACAAAAACAAAACTAAACAAGCAAAGAAACAAAAGGCAATCTTGCTACTTTGGACCTATGCAGCATTTATTTCAGGCTATAATTGACTGGAATTAAACAGTACCAGCTTCCTTTAGATGGAGAATTTTCTGCTGAATTCATTTATGCTGTGTGCCTTGTTATGTTACCTGCATTTAAGTTTGAGGTCCCTGATTTATAGAAAAGCAAGGCTAATTTAATGATTATCTTTTGCTCATAAATTTTGACATTCTCTTTAAGACATAACTTAATCGATGATATCTTGAATCCAATCCTGGTCAGATATATTTTACACATCCTCCTAACTCCTTTGAGAGGAATCGGAGACAGGGATTTCTGACCACTACCATGGAGAATCAAGATAAAACATCCTGTGACTGTTAGCAGCTCAATTAGGTATTTATATTGGATTAGGGAACATGAAATCAATGCCACTGAAAGCTTGAAGAACTCTTATGCTTATTAACAAGCAGCTCTTTATCTTTTCCATCTCCCCAGCATGCCCAGGCAGAGAATATAGAAAAGGTAACTTGGAGTTAGGCATAAGAGAGGCATAGACAGTGGATGAACCATATTTTCATTGATCCTTAGTTGTCTTAGTTGCATTAGTAAGCTCCTGAGAAGGTGGCTCTTGGAGAAATTAGTCACAGACCTGAATGTTTCTTCCTGATAAACAGCATCACAGTAAAAGATACACCAAGATCTCTTGTTGGGCTTAGATTTCAGATGCGCTACAGACGAAACATTAAGACCTGATTTCTATCTCTTCTTGATATTCAATTTATAATATGAAGCTATTTATATTTTCTCCATTTCTAGTATCAAAGGCAGCCAGTACATTGATTTAATTCTATTTAAGGAAGACTAGCCTTCTCTTGCCGTTTCCTATATGCACAACGATGATGAGTACAGGTTTTATTATTCAGCATATATTCCTTTATTGGTAATGACTTAACAAAATGTAAAGCTTTGAACATTAAATGTAGCTTAAATAAAGTAACATTTAAATAAAATCTAAATACAAATAGGCAATTATACTTCTACATTTTGCCCAACTATTCATCAATCATAATTGTCACCATTATATAACCTGCTTAATTGAGATTGTGTACTTTCAGTTGAATTTTGTATTTGATGTTTAGGGTGTATACATTTTTAGAAAAGGTTAATATGATCCCTTTGTAAAATAAATATTCTATAATCATGTATATAATAATTATTTTGGCTTTTTCTCCTCTGAATCAGGTCATGTCAGCTTCATTTTCAGAGTTACAAACTACTAATGGATGGTGTATCCTTCTAGATAAAGTGCACAGACACCCCCACACTCCAATACACACCTAAATTTCATTTTAAAATAAAGGTTAGTGTGAAACCTATACTGTTTTGAACATTATTTTTTGCTATATATGTATGTATATGCACGAATATGAACATTTGTGTCTAATCAATTCAGTGAGGTATTATTTTTAGTGATGAATACCACCATATTTTTATGTGCCACAAGAGCTGTAAAATACAGTAACTGAAAGCATGAGTTCAAGAGCCAGGGTGCGTGGACTTTTTTTTTCTTTTTTTTGACAATATCTTATTTCAGTCCTTAAGTAAGCTTTCTAATATCTTGGTGTCTTGGTTTTCTAAACCACAATGGAATACTACTTTGGAATACTACAAAGATGAGTCAGATATCGTTGTTGTAAAAAATAATAATAATAATAAAAATAAAAAGCTTCGAAAAACATCCAATAATCTAGAAATTACTAAAACATTAATTTTTGGACCTTGTTTTTGTTTCTCACATTATCTATTTTATTTGGGCTAGATAGGAATATAAATATTTTACTTATTTGTGCTTTCATTTAGTGAAAACAGCTACTTTATAAAAAGAATGCCTGAAAACAAAGAAGAAATCAAACTTATCCATGTATTTGGTTTCACAGGAATTCCAGAACAGATCTAAATGCAGGCCTCTTACACATGGGAATTCAATTTTAGGATGGGGAAGTCTCACAGGTTCCAATATAGGACAGATGTTCAATTTATTTTGCTATTCACTTAGCACTTGAAATTTGTCAAACCCAATTAGATCTCGAACTCAGCTTTTTACTTCAGTGTGCTTTAACTATTTGTGCTTTTCAAGGTCTTCTTAAACTACCAGCTTTTGTCTTTTTCTGTGCCCTGTATGCATGCAAACTGCCTAAGAAAGAATCTTTGTCTTCTCATTGTGTATCAAAGGATAGACATCTTAACAGGTAACCTATGAAATGGGAGAAAATACAGGCAAACCATACATGTGATAAGGAGTTAATATCCAAAATACTTGAGGCACTCCTACAACTTAATAGCTGAAATAATAATGATACCCCAATCAAAAATATTAAAGAACTTGAATGAACATATCTCCATAGAAAACATACAAATGACCCACAGGTATATGAAAATATGTTCAACATCATAACAGGGAATTGCAAATCAAAACCACAATGATATATCATCTCATATCACATACAATGGCTATTATTTTTAAAAAGATAAGTGTCGGCAGGATGTGAAGAAATTGTAACCATTGTGCAGTGTTGGAAATATAGTGTGGGTGGAAATATAGTTTGGTGTAGCCACTATAAAGCATAGTTAGAAAGTTCCTTAAAAATACAAAATAGAACTAGCAATCCAGCTACTGGGTATATATTCAAAACAAATCGAAATCAAGCATTTAAGATATGTTTGCATTTCTATGCACTTCTATGTTTATTTCAGCATTATTCACAATAGCCAATATGTAGAAATAACCTAAGTGTCCATCAATGGATGAATAATAAGGAAAATATGAATATATGTACAACGAAATATTATTCAGACTTAACAAGGCAATTCTGTCATATGCAACATCTATGAACCTAGAGAACACTGTGATAACTGAATGAAGCCAATAAAAGAATTGCAAATACTGCATGATTCCACTTATAGGAGGACTCTAAAATAGTCAAAAATCATATAGGGAGTGGAGTAATATATATTGCCGCCAACATTGTATGTGTCCCCTTTTCTCCACAGCCTCACCAACATCTGTTATTTTTTTTTGAAACTTTAACAAAAGCCATTCTGACTGATGTGATATGGCATTTCATTGTGATTTGGATTTACATTTCTCTTTTGATTCATGCAGATTAACATTTTTTCATATAGTTGGTTGGTCACTTGTATGTCATCTTTTGGAATGTGTCTGTTCATGTCCTTTGCTCATTTTTTAATGAGGTCATTTGTTTTTGTTCATGGATTTAAGTTTCCCATACATTCTTGATGTTAGACTTTTGTTGGATGCATAGTTTGAGAATATTTTATCTCCTGCTGAAGGTTGTCTATTTACTCTGTTGATAGTTTTTCTTGCTGTTCAGAAGCTCCTTAGTTGAATTAGGTACTACTTATCAATTTTTGTTTTTGTTGCCATTGCTTATGTGGACTTAGCCATAAATTATTTGGCAAGGCTGATGGTGAGAAGGGTATTTCCTAGGGTTTCTTCTAAGATTTTTATAGTTTTAGGTCTTACATTAAAGTCTTTAAGTCATCTTAGTTAATTTTTATATGGTTATAGATAGGGGTCCAGTTTCATTCTTCTGCATATGAATAATCAGTTATCCCAGCACCATTTATTGAATATGGAGTCCTTTCCTCATTGCTTCTTTTTGTTGACTTTGTCGAAGATCTGATGGTTGTAGGTGTGTGGCTATATTTCTGAGTTCTCCATTCTGTTCCATTTGTCTATGTATATATTTTTGTACCAGTACCATGCTGTTTTTGTCACTGCAGCCCCTTGTAGTATAGTTTGAAGTCATGTAATGTTAATGCCTCTGGCTTTGTTCTTTTTGCTTAGAACTGCTTTGGCTACTTGGGCTCTTTTTTGAATATTATTTTTAATATTAGAATAGTTTTTTTCTAATTCTGTGAAAAATGACAGTGGTAGTTTGACATTAATCGCATTGAATTTGTAAATTGCTGTGTGCAGTATGGCCATTTTAATGCAATTGATTCTTCCTATCCATGAACATGCAATGTTTTGGCATTTATTTGTATCATCTCTGATTTTTCTTTTACCAGTGTTTTACAATTCTTCTTGTAAATATATTTCATCTCCTTGGTTAGATGTATTCCTAGGTATTTGATTTTTTTCTGGTTAGTGTAAATGGAATTGTGGGTTTTTTTGTTTGTTTGTTTGAATCTCAGCTAGAATATTACTAGTGTATAGAAATACTACTGATTTTTGCACATTCATTTTGTATCCTAAAACTTTACTGAAGTTGTTTATCAGTTCTAGGAGCCTTTTGGCAGAGCCTTTAGGGTTCTGCAGGTATAGAACCATATCATTAGTGAATAGAGGTAGTTTGACTTCTTCTTTTCCTATTCGGGTGCCCTTTATTTATTTCTCTTGCCTGATTGCTCTGGCTTGTATTTCCAGTACTATGTTGAATAGGAGTCGTGAGAGTAGACATCCTTGTCTTGTTCCAGTTCTCAAGGGGAATGGTTCCAACTTTAGCTTATTTAGTGTGATGTTGGCTGTGGGTTTGTCAAAGATAGCTCTTATTATTTTGAGGTATGTTCCTTCAGTTCCTAGTCTGTTGAGGGCTTTTATCATGAAGGATGTTAAATTTTATCAAAAGCTTTTTCTGTATCTGTTTGAGGTAATCATATGATTTTTGCAGTTTGGATATTTCTCAAAGAACTAACAGTTGAACTATTTGACCCAGAAATCTCACTACTGGGTATATAACCAAAGGAAAATAAATCATTCTACCAAAAGGACACATGTGCCTGTATGTTCATGTCAGCACTATTCACAATAGCAAATACATTGAATCAACCCAGGGGTCCATCAACAGTGAAATGGATAAAGAAAATGTGGTAATATACACCATGGAATAATGTCCTTTGCAGCAACATGAATACAGCTGGAGGCCATTATCCTAAGTGAACTAATGTAGAAACAGAAAACCAAATACCACATGTTCTCACTTATAAGTGAGAGCTAAACATTGGTACACATGAAAATAAAGGTGAGAATAATAGACACTGGGGACTAGTATAGAGGCATATAAGGAGGATAACAAGGGCTAAAAAATACTACCTGTTGGTTTCTATGCTCACTCCCTGGGTGATGGGTTCAGTCACACCCCAAACCTCATCTTCATGCAATATACCTCCATAACAAACTTGCCTTGAACATATACCCACTGATTGTGAAATAAAAGTTGAAAAAGAAAAAATAAATTTTAGAAAGAGAGAGGAGAATGTTGGTTTCTGAGGACTGGGGAAAGAGGGAAATGGAGAGTTGCTGTTCAATAGGTATGAAGTTTGAGTTATGCAAGATGAATAAATTCTAGAGCTCTCAGTGCAACATTGTACCCACAGTTGATAGTGCTGTGCTGTGCCCTTAATATTTTCTGAGAAGGTAGATCTCATGTTAAGTGTTCTTAACACAGTAACAAGATACTTTGATTCATTGGCTAAATAAAAATACATTTTATAGTCAGGTAATATTACAATAAAATGTGTTCACAGTAGGAAAATCACCTTGTTAATGAAGAAAAGTTATTCAATTAGCAAGAGACACTCTCCATCTCTAGATAAGCATTTTGTATAAGTTGTATTAAAAGAAAGGATAAAAAATAGTCTGGATAATCCAGATCAAATTAATCATCACTAAAGAAGGCATTATCTTTGGCTAAAAGTTAAGAGCAGCACTAGATTTACAGAGAGAAAAATCCACAGTTTATATAAGAAGGCTTTTTGAATAAAATTTGTTCATATAATTGTTTTAATGTGCTTAATTAAGAAAAGCTTATGAAAATCTCATTAGCTATTCTTGCTTCAAGAAATACAATATGCCACTCTATATACATAATATTATAAAACTCCATAGTTATTTTCATATGCAAAAATATAATGTACTGTTAGCATGTTGTTTTCTAATACTCAATTTTTGGAAAGCATTAGAATAGTTAGTGTTTGATTTTTTTTCATGCAGGAATACCATCCAGTATTTAGAATACAATGTCATGAGGCTGAATCAACAGGCACATGTGCCAGAATAGGTTTTCCTTAATTTCTCTATCAAACAAAATACATAGGGATGTATCAGTTATTAGAGAATATGGCATTACAAAATATGACACAGTCAACACAGGGAAGAGTTAGCATTAGGTCTCTGGTTGGTAAAACACTGTCATAGATACTGCAACAGAGTAAGATTTTAAGCAAGAGAATTTGAAAAGGAGACAATAGAGTTTCAAACACTGGTAATGGGTATTCTGACACTAAAACAATAGGAAGTACATGTATTGTTAGAAGTACTAGCAAGGAATGCAGGCATGGTGTAAAGTAGGAAGGCATGAGGCTTGTATTCAATAAATTAATTACTGTATTTACTTTCCATATATGAAGTACAGTGTTAGAGTAGATTGAGCAGGTAAGGCTCAGCTAAGACCAAGCTGCCACTTTTTTTCATAACAACTAATAAAGCTTAATTTTTGAATAGACTGTGTTAATCTTGACTTTAGGTTTGGAATTAAGTTACAGGATTAATTATGAGTAAGTCATAGAGGAGGTCGTTTTAAAATTTTATGTTAATCAATTTAATAATACCATAATATTTTAAGAAAGTAAACAGGCATCAAAACTGCATATGAAGTTACAGTAAGAAATACATGCTATATATCTCTCCTTTAAACTTACATGTTTTTTAATCTTTTTAAACATGTATATTTGGTATTGGATCAAGATGAACTGTTTTTCATTTTCCGAGGTTCTCTTCCTGTGTCCTAGTTATCAAACCCACAACAAAAATGTATTTTGAATATAGTAACTCCATACAAATGCAAGAGAGAATAAAAGACTGCTATTAAGCATGCTGAAAGTTTCAATGAATAGCCTTAGATCAAGTAGAGTTTGGTATAAGGAATTTTTTAAAATATAACAATAACTGAATAACTCTTCTTCCCAAAATATACTCAGAAAAAAGTATGCTATTATTTGGGTAGGAAAAAGAGTGGAGGAGTTTTAACTCACAGATAACAGTCTGAAAGTACAAGTGGGGAAATTTGTACATTCATTAATATACATTATTTTCAAAACATATTCAGAGAGCTTGAATTGTTGGTCAAATCTCCTCCTTCAACTTGGGTTGAGCCATAGGCAGCCCAAAAAGACAGACAGAAAGATAGATAGATGATTGATTGATAGATAGATAGATAGATAGATAGATAGATAGATAGATAGATAATGTATTTGTAAATACAGATAGGCGTTAGATGGGTCAGAGTCCAGAGAGTCACGGATGCCCACTAAAGAAATGAACTCTCCTCCACATCCCAGACTTCTGTGATACCATGTCCAGCAACCCATCCCAATATTCACATTGGCTGTAGGCAGAATTACCATTTGTTCATGTCAAAATATTTATTGATCATGTGTTATATGCTAGAAATGTAACTAAGTGCTTGCAATACATCAATAAATAATGCAGTGAACAGAAGAGTCTTACTATGGCAGCTTTCCAATGAGTCAGCCTGGTACTGGTCTTAGGCACTGTGAGCTTGGAGTTACACAATTATGCTTAGAGCTCTGTAGAAGTCTCTCTCTCTCTCTCTCTCTCTCTCTCTCTCTGTATACATTGAATTCATATTATACCACTTCACATATATATACATGCATAGAGAGAAATAAATATATATATTTCTCTCTATATATATATCTCCTTCCATTTTACTATATATTTGATCCCATCTATTTCCTGTTATTTAAAGAATTACTTATTGTAGCATTTTATTTTCTCACAGCATTTTTTACACCTATACTGCTTTGTGTTATTTTCAATGGTTGCCACCCCTATGGATTACAGTATGCCTCCTTAAATTATCACAATATATATTGAGTTAATATTATACCACTATTGACTTTGAATAATGTATTTTTTGCTAACTTTAAATTGACATTAAATAATGTATTGAAAGAAAAGTAGCCTTTATACATTCAAGTATACTAACCACATGTGTAAAATGGAAATAATGAATACTTCATGGTAGGTTATGAAGATTAAATATATGATAGGCAAATGATTTAGTTTATTTGTCACAGAAGTAGTCCTCAATCAAAGATAGCAATTACTAATATATTTTCTATTTATACTAAAATGATTAGCTTATCTTAAATAGCTACTTTGTTCCTGCAAAGATAGTTGCAAACATTATGTTAAGCATTTGCAGCAATAATGCAGATTCTATCTAGTTTACTAATTCTATTAATCCTTTAAATACCTTATAATGTGGCCAAAAGTAGATACTAGAGACTTTCTGAAGATGACTTTTTTATCAAAAAATAATTTTATTCATCTTTCCTGTTAATTAGCATCCCTTTTCTCTCATCACTGCTTTTGGAAATTTTCCCTAACTTCTATCTAATATGTATCTATCCCAATGAGATTTTCTTCCTAATGATTCCAATTATAATAAATATTCTTATTCAGGTCAGCTCCATAATATCACTTAAAGAAGCAGTGAAAAACTCAGGAAATGTCTTTACAGAACCTGTATTATCAAGATCCCTTCCAAAAATTCCAAAATAAATGGATTGGCATGGGAGAGGTAGATTTTATATCTCTGAATCTTTATTTCAGAAATAGAAAATACCTGTTATGCGTCAATTTATTCTTCCTTTTCAAAAGATGTTTATTGATCATAATTTGTGTCATTTTTATTGTTTTAATATTTTAGTTTCAATTTTTCCTAAATGCTGTGTATTCAACCTAAGCAGACTTCTAGGCCTGACCTTATACTTGGAAATGATCAAACATATAATAGGGGAATTTTAAAGCCTGGTATTTAGTAAGAATAGATAATTGTTTACTACTAGTTAGTTGGTATACAGAATAGTTAAATCATTCAAGTTTATAGAAATATATCAATAAGAACACATATGAGACACAGGGAAACATATTTGATAAAACTATTTAACTTGTGACAGAATTTTAAAAATAATGTTAAGAAGGATAATCATAGAATTACTGTCTAAATATGCCAATATTTAGACAATTCAAAGATCCCTACTAATTGTTCTAATTTATTAGGAATTGTGTGTTTCAAGTGCAAGTATTCATGATATTTAGCAACATAGGATAGAAAGGAGGCAGGAAGGGATTAATGTCTAACACAAATTTAATAATTCTGGGTAAAGTGATTGAGTAAAATCTGAACTTATGCAATAGTTGAATAGGCAAGGACCTTTATTTAAAGGAACTTCTGATACATAAACAGCATCCACCAATTATTTTGGCCTCGAGAAGTTTAGAGTTTGGAGAGAAAAATGCAGATAGGTAAACAAGCAAATTTAATTCCTGATAAGTGATGGCAGGCTCAGCTCTTACTATATGCAAAGAAGTCAGTTAAAAAGATTTGCCAGTTATGTCATTGATACGTTAAAAATTGAGCCTTTTTTTTTTGCAGTAGTCTGTGGCCAAAACCCCTTCCTCTCAATATCAGCGTCCCATTTCCTCTAAAGTCTTGTGTAAATTTTACGTCAGTAAATCCTTTTCTACCCACATTGTCTACAAAGTAAATTATAGACTCTCCCTATGCATATCTCTGTATCCTCTTCTTCTGTTTTACTTTTCTCCAATGTAATGATAACCATTGACACTAGGCGATAGCCAATTCATTTATTTATTGTCTGTTTCTACTTATTAATTCCATAAAAACATGAACTTTTTCATTTTTTTTTCCTGCAGCCACTGAGAAAAATGTGTTATAGACTAGGAGCCCAGTAAAAAATTATTTGCTGCTGCTTAGTGAATATGCATGATGAGCAATTTAGAATACTTAATTCCATAATTCCTAGAATATGATGTAGTACCTAGTCTTGAGAGGATAGCAATAATTTTGATTTTGATTTTTTCATTTTATCTTGTGATTTGATAGAATCTTAAAAACGTGGGCATAAAAGACTTTATTTGTTACTTTTCGTTCTAAGAATAGCTATTTTGTCTTGTTGCACAGTCACTTCCAGTTAACTGAGCTTGTCGTAAAGTACAGATAGTACTCAACTTACAATAATTTGATTTACAATTTTTTGACTTTACAATTGGTTTATTGGGGGCATAAAAAGTATTTTTGGATTATGATATTTTCAACTTATGATGAGTTTATTGGTACATATTCCCATTATAAGTCGAGGACCATCTATACTGCAAAGCTTCAAAATACACCAACTATAAAAATCCAGTCATGTTGAATATATATAAATTTTAGAAGACACTAGAGAAAATATATTTCTAAAATGTTCTCTAGTGAAGAAACAATAATTTTTAAGACAGTTTGACAGTCACATAGAGAGATGGTGAGTTTTACATGGCCTCCTTCAATGTTGCATAAGTGGTCAGGCTTTCCCATCCCATTCCCTTGGATACAGTAATTGATGAAAAAAAAAAGTGTATTTGAGGAAATTATTCACTTCCTGAAGCAGATGTAAGGGCCTATATCTCATTCTGCACTCAAGAGTTTAATATTCTTCTTCTTTAAAAAGAACACTCCGAGTAAAATTGGCTTCACTGATGTTATTAAAGTCTTCTCTCAACCCAAAAAGCACAGTAATGGCAGGGATCTTATGTTGGGCCTATAAGATAACATCCTATCAAACACCACCAGCGACTACTCTCCTGCACCTCAGAGAATCTCTTCAGGTTCTGTGTTTCAAATGAGCTTGTGTTTTGCCTTCTCTTTCTAATCAGCTTGCTTTTTCTACAGCCTTTGACAATTTATGTGTGTTTTTTATCTGCTGTCTGCATAACTGCCTAATCTATTATTATCAAGATTTGAATTGCATTGTATGTTTGATTATTGATCTCTATAGATTTATTCCTGAAAACTGTCTTTGAGATCTTATTTGAATTCATGTTTCTAAATAGAGTCTGTGGGTCAACTCCATGTGAGTCTGCTATATCAACTTGCTTTTGAAAACAAAACGATGCTGGTGCTTATGTTTTTACTTGTTCAAAATGGAAGTTCAGATATTAGATATACATTCAGTTCATTTTCTCTGCCTTAATGTCCAGACATAGCATTTATTACATTGCAGTAAATAAGATCATAAGATATTTTGAAAATATCATTTTTGTCTTATTTAACCAACCTTGAAGTCTTGTGTACTTTATTATTTTAGTGATTAAATAATATTCAGATTCATTGTTAATATTTGCTACTTAGATTTAGAACAATTCAATAAAAACACATATTTAGTTTTAACCTCAATAGGCCTTTGAGACAACATAATCTCCATTTTACAGAAAAATAACATCCTAGATATTTCACATAAAATAGCTAGTAATTAGCAGAATGTAGGGCCTTCACGTGTCTTACAAAACAAATGAAACATTTTTATTGTTTATAATATTCTAGTGATGGATTTCAAGGATTCTGCCATTTATGGATGTCTTCCTTAGCTAATCAAAGCAAATAAACTATGTTTCTTTTTAAATTTTCAAGAAATGTTTTGATTTCCTTATCCAGCCTTTTAATATGGTCCAACTATGTCAATTTCATATTTTCTCAGAATTTATATTAGATGATTTTCCCAAATAACATAATTTTAACTAATATTAATATAAAATTAGATATATTAATTTTTCTCATCACATCTTGTGTTTGAATGTTTCTTAGTAATATTATCACTATCCTTTCAAAATTAATTTTTTTCTCAGGAGAAAAAAATGAAAGATTACTGTACTGCATCCCCCTATGCTACATGGAAACCATAAATGATAATTCTGTTTTAACGACTCACTTGGATGTTTAATTTCCTTCTTAATATGTGCAAGCCAATAAAATAAACATCCCTTAGTATCTTGGCTTGTAAACATAGATGATTAAGCAAAATAATTACTATGGTCTCGGATCAGAAGATTTTTCATTCAGTCAGTTATTTTTATTCTATCCGTGAATAACAAATTACCACAAATTTAGCAGTTGACAACACATTTGCTATTTGTTTATTTATATTTCATAGTTCTGTAAGTTACAAGTCAAAGCAGATTCAAATGGATTCTCTGCTTATGATATTTCAAGTCCAAAATCAAGGTGTTGGCCAGGCTGGGCTCTTATCTGAAGGCTTTGGGAAATAATCCTCTTTTAATTTCATTCAAATGGTTGACTTAATTATGGTCAGTTGTGTCAGATGAAAGTGGTTAAATTCAGGTCCCCATTGCATTGCTGGCTGCCAGGCATAATCTATTTTATTCCTTGAAAGGCCACTTGCATTCATTTACATGCCCCCTTTCATCTTCAAGCCAATGGTCACCGTTAAATCCCTCTCATGCTACCACTACTCTGGTTTTCCTTTCTGCTACCAGTCAGAAAAAGGTAACTGCATCTGCTTAAATAATAGCCTTACTAATATATAATTCATGTAGAACAATTCACAAATTTAAAGTGCAAAAAATTGATGGTTTTAGTATATCCATATGGTTGTACAAGCATCACTACAGTAAATTTCAGAACATTTTTATTACCACGGCATTGTTAAACTTCTTTATTGAATCTCTGGATATATCTCTCTGGCTAACTCCTTTCAAAATAATAAAATTAAGTGTCTCTTTAACATTTGAAATATATTGCCCCATCCATGATTGGGTTATAAAATATATTTTAACTTTTTTGAGACAGAGTTTCACTCTTGTTGCCCAGGTTGGAGTGCAACGGTGCGGTCTCAGCTCACTGCATCCTCTACATCCCTGGTTCAAGCAATCCTCCTGCTTCAGCCTCCCCAGTTAGCTGGGATTATAGGTGCCAGCCACCATACCTGGCTAATTTTTGAATTTTTAGTAGAGACAGGGTTTCACCATGTTGGCCCAGCTGGTCTCAAACTCCTGACTTCAGGTGATCTGCCAGCCTCAGTCTCCCAATGTGCTGGGATTACAGGGATAAGGCATCGTGCCCGGCCTTAACTAAATTGTATAAACAGAAGTAAAGAGGACATACCATATATTGAGTGAAATTTTTTCCATGAGCATCTTGGACCAATATTACTTCGTAGAACTTTAATATTTTTCTGATCCTTTCCTTGCTTAGCATTTGTACCATTATTAATAATTTTGAGCCTTAATTCACTACGACTTGCTAAGCCATTTCTTCCTCTCTCTCCATATGTGCTTTATAATCACAAATCCTTCAGATTTCTACTGTAGACAGATTATTATTTCATAATGCTAGAAAAATTGTGAACACATTCAGGCCTTTAAATTAAAACCAAAAATAATAATGCAAGAAATCATAAATATCTCTACATGTAAGTGTTTCTGTGAAACATTAAACATGTTATGTATAAAAATACCTAAAACCCATGTTTCTGGAAATATTTACCAATTAAAATATGCTTCATATTTAATTATCAGTAACAATAAGTACACTAGCAAAGAGATAATATTACAGTAGTCAACTCAGGACTTCACTTTGTTCCTTTCCACATCATTCTCTCAAAAAAGCTGCTTGGGTTTCTTCACAGAGTAAAAATAGTTTTTTAAGAATAAATAAACAGAGCCAGAAGAAGCCTTCAGGGGTCTGAGTTGGGAAACTGATACATTATTCCTACTGTATTTTATTGGTTATATCAGTTTTAGAGCCTAAACAGATGTGGGGACAGGTAGGACTCTACCTCTTGGTACTCTGTAGTTGTATTTGTGACACACACTCTAAATGTACAATGAAATGCTAAATACTTTATAAAACATTCTTAAACAATACCTCATATTATCTAGTTTTCCAGAGGAATATTTGAAAATGAATACATAATTGGATCTTGAAGAAAATTGCTACTGGCTATGGGAAAATATTTTTAAACATTCTTACATAAAGAAACAAGTTTGATTTTCTATAATGACTTAATTTGTCATTCTCAGTAGGATTGTTGAGATATTGCACAAGAGCTAAAGTTTTATGTTGTTTTTAATTTCAATTTATTAATATTTTACTTTATTTTCTGTGAGCATATTGTTTCCTCAGGTCAGATATTAACTCTGTCCAGATTTCTTGATAGTTGGAAACCAATAAAGATTTAATAGAAGGAGCCTGAGGGAAAGTATGCATTTAAATCAGGTGGTGTTATTTTAATATTCTAATAACTTTCATCTATGTGGCAGTAAAATTCAATTTCAAAAGTTTTAATGAAAGGAACACGTGATTTATTTTGCTGGATGTTCATGAATCTCTTAAGTCTTTGTTTCATAAAATAAATTGTCTAGTGTTGCTTTTCTTATAGTGTGTTTCTGAAATACTGGCCCTACAGAATGTTAATAGAACATAATACAAATGAGAAAATTAACAAAATGTTATGTTTTTAAAATTAGAGGGATTTTCTCAGAGCTGAATATCTTGTATTTTACATTCTAAATCTTCAAAATGTATGATATACATTTAAAATAAATGAATGAATAAATAAATGTATTCAAGGTGTGTCACTGAGGATTGCTGATTCTAGTTACACTCTTAGGAAAACAATGATTTCTTTTTTTTTTTGTTATACTTTAAGTTTTAGGGCACATGTGCACAATGTGCAGGTTAGTTACATATGTATACATGTGCCGTGTTGGTGTGCTGCACCCATTAATCATCATTTAACATTAGGCATATCTCCTACTATTATCCCTCCCCCCTTCCCCCATCCCACAACAGGCCCCAGTGTGTTCCCCTTCCTGTGTCCGTGTGTTCTCATTGTTCAATTCCCACCCATGAGTGAGAACATGCGGTGTTTGGTTTTTTGTCCTTGTGATAGTTTGCTGAGAATGATGGTTTCCAGCTTCATCCATGTCCCTACAAAGGACATGAACTCATCATTTTTTGTGGCCACATAGTATTCCATGATGTATATGTGCCACATATTCTTAATCCAGTCTATCATTGTTGGACATTTGGCTTGGTTCCAAGTCTTTGCTATTGTGAATAGTGCGGCAATAAACATACATTTATGCAGCCAAAAGACACATGAAAAAATGCTCATCATCACTGGCCATCAGAGAAATGCAAATCGAAACCACAATGAGATACCATCTCACACCAGTTAGAATGGCGATCATTAAAAAGTCAGGAAACAACAGGTGCTGGAGAGGATGGGGAGAAATAGGAACACTTTTACATTGTTGGTGGGACTGTAAACTAGTTCAACCATTGTGGAAGTCAGTGTGGCAATTCCTCAGGGATCTAGAACTAGAAATACCATTTGACCCAGCAATCCCATTACTGGGTGTATACCCAATGATTTCTATGGTCATTAAAGAGATTTAATAAAGTGTTTAATTTTTGCAAATATACTGTAAAGACCAGCAGAGCAGGTTCTTGGACTGCATCTAAGAATGACTTGCAGCATGAAAAATAAGTCATGTTTCGGGAAACTATAACTCAGGACACTATCAAAACACTGAGTTGAGTAACATATTGCAAGTGCTGGAACGATTGAATCAGTAAGCTAGTCCCAAGAAGCTGCCATATTTACTATGGTCACTTACATAATTGAAAAACAGAGACTAATTCTGGGCCCTACCTCTTTCATGACTGGGTTTTGATGGCCACAAGTCTGAAGACTTGACGTTGATGCATAATGACTTATCTTTCTTTTTAGTTCAATTATAAATGTCTCTTATCGAAACCAATTCCAACACAAAAAACAGCCACAACTATTGCTATTTTTTTCTTATCTTCTTACATTTTGGATTTGCTTAATGTTCTTTTTTTAATGCCTTGAGATGGGTCTTAGATAATTGATTTTTCACTTTCTTATATTTAAAATACACATATAAGGCAATAAATCCCTGACTCCATCTTATCTACCTTCTCTAAGTTTCATGATATATCTTTATTAACATTTACTTCAAAATGCCTTTTAATTTTGACATGGCTTCTTGATTTATGGATTATTTAAAAGTACATATCTTTGGCCGGGCGCGGTGGCTCACGCCTGTAATCCCAGCACTTTGGGAGGCCGAGGCGGGCAGATCACGAGGTCAGGAGATCGAGACCATCCTGGCTAACAAGGTGAAACCCCGTCTCTACTAAAAATACAAAAAATTAGCCGGGCGTGGTAGCGGGCGCCTGTAGTCCCAGCTACTCGGGAGGCTGAGGCAGGACAATGGCGTGAACCCGGGAAGCGGAGCTTGCAGTGAGCCGAGATCGCACCACTGCACTCCAGCCTGGGCGACAGAGCGAGACTCCGTCTCAAAAAAAAAAAAAAAAAAAAAAAAAAAAAAAAAAGTACATATCTTTATTTTAACATAATCAATTTGTGAGTGGTACTGTCTAATTTTTGAATTAATTTTACTGTGGCAAGATAGTGTAATAATTATTTCAATCCTTTGTGATCTGATGAGACTTGATTTGTAGCACAGTGTTTTAGTCTGTTTTGTACTGTCATAACAGAATACTTGGGACTGCATAATTTATAATAAATAATAACTTGTTGGTTCACAAATCCGGAGGCTGGGGAGTTCAAGGTTCCTGAGGAGGCACCATCTGGCAAAAGCCTTCTTACTAAATCATCCCATGGTGGAGGGCAAAAAGAGGGCAAGAAAGAGAAAGAGAGAGGGATTCAAACTTATCGCTTTATAAAGAACCCACAGTAACTGACCCACACAGGAAATAACAATATTAATCTATTAATAAAGTCAGAGACTTAGTGACCTAATCAACTCTTAAATGTCCCACTCTTAACACTGCTGCAGTGGTAATTAACTTTCCAACACATGCTTTTTGGGGAACACATTCAAACCATAGCACCCAGTACAGAGCCATTTTGAGGATAAATGTTGAACTATATATATGTAGTTATACATAGTGTAAACACATGTGATCATCTTTCGTAGGACATGTGTATCAACCAGAGATCTCCAGAAAAGCATAACAAATGATTTATCATAAAAGTTGGCTCAGGTGATTATGTGATTATGGTAATTCAGCCAAAATCCAGTGATTTAGTAACAGGGGTCCATATCCAAAAAGTGGACATAGGAGAGGAGAATGAAAATTTGTCTCTCATCCATCTTTTTGTACTAACAGGGCAGTCAACGGATTGAATAATGCTGCCCACATTGATGAGGTTGATTTTTACTCAGTCTGCTCATTCAAGTACTATTCTCTTCAAGAAACACCCTCACTGACACATCCAGAAATAATGTTTTACATCCCTTAGCCTAGTCAAGTAGACACATAAAATGAACAATAACAACTTCACGCTTTGTAAACTCGGCACCTATACGAATCTCCTTAAACCATACTTGATCTCCAAATAAAGAAAATAAATAGGATGGTAATAATTTCACATAATATGATACAACTATTCTGTGTACAACTAAACATGCACTAATCCCTACCGACAAAGAGGAAATAAAGTTCTTGAGTGATGTTCACTGTTACAATATCCCATAACTTAAATATTATGATGTAAAATTAGCAATATTTATTAAGGGATAATAAAGTCAATACATTTTATGTTATATGATAAGGGAATAAGATAGGAATGTAAACAAAGATACTTGCTTAATATATGTACACGTACACACATGAGGGTGTACAACATAGGAACAAAATACTCGTGACAATTATAGTCTTCACTTCTGTAACTGGTCATATGGTTGTTACTAGAATTTATAACCACCTTCTTCAGCTATTCATTCTGTATTCACTTTGCCTTCAGCAAGCAGCTCAGCTGGTCGTGGTTTCTTACTTGATGTAGTTACACAAACTTTTATACCTGAAGGATCATGGCTGTTTGTAGTCCTGCCTGGATTAGGTTGTAGTTTTCCATTGGCCTTAATTACTAGGGATGGTAACACTAAGAGAAGCCCTGAGAAACCTCTGATATTTCAGATATACTTTCTTTACTTCCATTGTAGAATAGTAGTTCAACTTTCCCCATAGTATTGAAAATCAATAATCCCAGCCAACACTATAACTGCCTCCTTGGTCTATTGACTCAGAGCAAGAGAAGCCCAAAGTAGCTGAGTGGCAGTCTTAACTTAGAATTCAAGGGAATCATTGTGTCTACTGGTAGAAACATTCCTTCCTCTGGGACTAAGACTTCTTAGGCTGGCAGAGCATGAAGTCACAGGAATAAGAAGCAACAAATTTGTTAGTGAGTCAGTAGGAGAAATGGTGAATGGTGACACTCCCATTTCCACCCGTTTATTTCAGGACCTGTGAATCCTGGCTATTGGAGAACGAGTATCACATACTGGGCACTGACTCACAGCATACACAGCCTTTTATGGAGAACCTTGCCCTAGCTCATATGTATTGCAACCTAGTTGGTGCTATAAATGAATCTTCACAAAGGCATTCCACCATTCTACTAATCCATCTGTTTTGGGACAGGGAGGTGAGGAAACAGGGCAATAACAGTGAATCCTGAGTATGTGCCCATTGCCCCCATTTCTTTGGCTATGAAGCAACATCCTTCCTTTACATTAAACCAAGGTAGATTGGGCATTTCCAATTTGTTCATGTTAGGCCATATTTTGACCTTTCCATGTTACAGTTTCATTTATGTGCTCCATTACATAATTTAAATTTTATTCAACTTTTTTCTCTTAAAGCAGTAAGTGGAGATTTGGTGTTATTGTTTGATGTTATTAAGAAAACCGACATTATTTTATTTACTGTAGATGTTGAAACCTGGTATTTCATGTTAATTGCAGGCACTTTCCATAAAGAGTATTTTCTTAGTGTATTAGATCATTCTCACGCTGCTATAAGGACATACCGAAGACTGGGTAATTTATAAAAGAAAGAGGTTTAATTAACTCACACTTCAGCATGGCTGGGAAGGCCTCAGGAAACTTACAACCATGGCAGAAGGGGAAGCCATCATGTCCTTCTTCACCTGGCAGTAGGGAGAAGAATGATAACCGATTAAAGGGGGAAATCCCTTATAAAACCATCAGATCTCGTGAAAACTTACTATCATGAGAGCAAGGGGGAAACTGCCCCCATGATCAAATCCCACCAGGTCCTTCCCATGACACATGGGGACTGTGTGAACTATAATTCAAGATGAGATCTGGGTGGGGACACAGACAAACCATATTACTTAGTAAATAAGTTTTCTAAAATGTTAGGCAAAATATTATTTAAAAACTTTAAAAGTAAATAACAATTATCTAACACATGTAATATTGTAATATATTATACATTGATGTTTACTTTTTGAACATAAAATTAAATGTCTTACTTTAAAATATTAGACACATGAATTGTTTCATCAAAAATATCCAAATCTAATGTGCTAGAATTGATAATTTGGTAAGATTATGGTATACTCTGTAATATAATTTCAATTGGTAATTTATGTTTGGGTGTTATATTTTTAAAAGTTTAAAATGTGCTTTCCAGCTTATGTCTGGAAATCTTCACAGTATATGTGAAGATTATTTTTCTTTCTTTTTTAAATTTTTATTAACATTTAATTGACATATAACAAAATTCACCTATTTAAAGTGTACAATTTAATGTTTTTGAATATGCAGCCATCTCCACAGTCAATACTAAAAGTTTCCTGAAGGAAAAAAATAGCAATTAGCTGCCACTTTTTATTTACCACCACCACTGTCACCCCTGGCTCTATGTAACAACTAACTTAATTTCTGTATGTATATGTTACCTTATCCTGGATATTACATGCATGTTGAATCATGTAATATATATTTTTCTGTGAATGGCATTTTTACTTAAAGTGATGAAGGTCCATTTCTGTATTAACATTCATCAGAACTTCATTTCTCTTTATGGACAAACAGTATTGCATAGTAGTGATACACCACATTTTATCCATTCTCCTGTTGATGAACATGTGGATCATTTTTACCTTTTGGCTATTATGAATAATGGGTTATTCACATAAGGTTAAAAATGTTGTGTGGCTATATGTCTCCTTTGTAAAAAAGAAAATTTTCACTTCTATTTTAGATACAGGGGTACATGTATAGGATGGTTAGTTACATGGGTATATTGGACCCAGCTAGTGAGCACAGAGCCCAATAGGTCTTTTTTCAACACATAACCCCCCCCACACTATATTATTTGGTACTGTCTATTGCTTCCATGTTTGTGTCCATATGTGATCAATGTTTAGCTCTGGCTTACAAGCAAGAATATGCTGAATTTTCTTTTGCTGTTCTTGTGTTAATTTGCTTAAAATAATGGCCTCCAGATCCATTCATGTTGCTGCATATGTCATTATTTTGTTCCTTTTTATGGTTGCATAGTATTCCATGGTGTACATGTATCACATTTTGTTTATCCAATCCACCACTGATGGAGACCTAGGTTTATTCTATGTCTTTGCCATTGTGAATCGTGTAGTGTTGAACATACAAGTGCATGTCGTTTTGGTAAAATAATCTATATTCCTTTGGGTATATACCCAGTGATAGGATTTGTGGTCAAATGATAGTTTTGTTTTTAGTCCTTTGAGAAATACCCAAACTGTTTTCCACAAGGTCTGAACTAATTTACATTCCCACCAACAGTGTATGAGCATTTCCTTTTCTTTGCAGCCTTGCCAGCATCTGTTGTTTGTTGAGTTTTTAATAATAGCCTTTCTGACTTCTGTGAGATGGTGTCTCATTGTGGTTTGAATTTGCATTTCTCTGATGACTAGTGATGATGAGCATTCTTTCATAAGTTTATTGGCTATATATATGTCTTCTTTTGAAAAATGTCTGTTCTTGCTTTTTCCCCACTTTTCAATGGGGTTATAATTTGCTGGCTGATTTGTTTAAGTTCCCTATAAATTCTGGATATTAGGCCTTTGTTGGATGCATAGCTTGCCAACATTTTTTTGAATTCTGCAGATTATCTGTTTATTTATTGATTTGTTGTTGTTGTTGTTGTTGTTTTGGCTAAGCAGAAGTTCTTTCGTTTAATTCGATCTTGCTTATCAATCTTTGTTTTTGCTGCAATTGCTTTTGGCGACTTGGTCATAAATTCTTTGCCAAAGTAGGTTTCAGAAGGGTATTTCCTAGGTTTTCCTCTAGAACTTTTGCAGTTTTACATCTTACATTTAAATCTTTAATTCATCTTAAGTTAATTTTTCTATACAGTGAAAAATAGGGATCCAGTTTCTTTCTTCTGCATATGGCTAACCAGCTATCCGAGCATTATTTATTTAATAGGAAGTCCTTTCCCCATTGCTTATTTTCATCAGTCTTATTGAAGATTAGATGGTTATAGGTGTGAGGCTTTATTTCTTAGTTTTCTAATCTGTTCCATTGGTCTTGTGTCTGTTTTTGTACCAGTACTCGCTGTTTTGTTTACTGTAGCCTCATAGTATAGTTTCAAGTCAGGTAATGTGATTTCCCAGGCCTTATTCTTTTTACATAGGATTATTTTGGTTATTTGAGCTATTTTTTTGGTTCCCTATGGATTTATGGATCACAATGCAATAAAAATATAAATCAATATTAAGAATATCTCTCAAAACTACACAAATATATTAAAATTAAACAACTTGCTGCTGAACAACTCTTGGGTGACCACTGAAATTCAAACAGAAATCAAAGCAGTATTTAAAATTAATGAAAATAGAGACACAAATTCTGAGAATCTCTGGGATGCAATCAGCAAATTAAGAGGAAATCTATAGCTCTAAACACCTTTATCAAGAAGTTAGAAAGATCTCAAATTAATAATTCAACTTCCCACCTAAAGGAACTAGAAAGTAAAAACAAACCAACTGCAAGGCTAATAGAAGAAAGGAAATAGCTAAAATTAGAGAAGAAATTTAAAAAACTGAGATGCAAAAACTTATACAAAAAAACAATGAAACCAAGAGATTGTTCTTTGAAAAAATAAATAAGATTGATAGACCACTAGATAAATTAAGAAAAGAAAAGAGAATATCCAAATAAGTGCAATCAGAAATAACAAAGATGACATAACAAGTGATCCCACAGAAATAAAAATGATCCTCAGAGAATACTATGAACTCTATATACATGAATCAGAAAATCTAAAGGAATGGATGAATACCTGGAAACACGCAATCTGCTAAGATGGAATCAGGAAGAGACTGAAACCCTAAATAGACCAATATTGAGCTCTGAAACAAAATCAGTATTAAAGAGTCCACCAACTAAAAAAAGCCATGGAAGAGGCAGATTCACAGCCAGATTCTACCAGATGTCCAAAGAAGAGCTGGTCACAATCCTACTGAAACTACACCAAAAACTCAATGAGGAGGGACTCCTCCCTAACTCATTCTATGAAGCCAACATCAGCCTAATACCAAAATCTGGCAGAAACATGACAGAAAAAGAAAACCTCAGGCCGATATCCCTGGTGAACATAGATGCAAAAATCCTCAACAAAATACTATTCAATCAAATCCAGCAGCACATCAAACAGGTAATCTATCATATCAAGTAGGCTTTTTCAAGGTTGGTTTAACACATGCAAATCAATAAATGTGATTCACCACAGAAACAGGATTAAAAGCAAAAAACATATGATCATCTCAATAGATGTAGAAAAGTCTTGTGATAAAATCCAAGGTACCTTCATGATAACAACCCTGAAAATAATAAAAGCCATCTGTGAAAAACCCATAGCCAAAATTATACTGAACAGGTGAAAGCTGAAATTATTTGACTTGAGAACTGGAAAAAGGCAAGGATGTCCACTCTCAGCATTCCTACCGAATATAGTACTGGAAGTTCTAGCCAGAGCATCATTCCAGGGAAATAAATAAAAGGTATCCAAATAGGAAAAGAAGAAAAACTCTCTCCCTTTGCTGACAATATGATTCTATACTTAAAAACTCTAAAGACACCACCCAAAAGGCTTGTAGAACTGATAAATAATTTTAGCCACGTTTCATCATACAAAATCAATGTACAAAAATCAGTAACATTTTTATGTAACAGTAGTGGCCAGGTTGAGAGTTAAATCAAGAACATATCCCATTTACAATAGCAACAAAAAAAAATAAATTACCTACAAATACAGCCAACCAAGAGGGTGAAAGATTTATAAAAAGACAACTATAAAACACTGCTGAAAGAAATCAGACATGACACAAATAAATGAGAAAACATTCCATGTTCATTGACTGAAAGAATTAATATTATTAAAATGGCCAAACTGCCCAAAGCAATTTTCAGATTCAATGCTATGCCTATCAAACTACCAATGTCATTTTTTGAAGAATTTGAATGCATTTTACAAAATTATTTGATCATTACTGATTTTTGTTATTTCTTGGCATTTTAATAATTATTGGCACAAATGTGATAAAAAGTGTTTGCTCTACCCGTGGTGTGCAATTTGAATTTTTTATTAACTTACATGTCAATAATATTAAATAATTATTAACAGTACCCCAAAATAAGTTTACATGTTTTCATTTAAATGTCTGAGTTTATTAGTTCCAAATATGGTATGTCTTTCATGATATCTGACATAACACTATACAGTATATATTTTATGATTTGTGACATTACACAAAATCTAAGATTTAGAAATATGATTACACAAATCCACTATGTGTAAAGGATAGAGATTTGTAAGGAAAAAGGTCTCAGTTTTATTGTTACATGGTCACATAAGGGCCATAATATATTCTTTATTTTCTAAACATCTTCTGACTCCTTCAGACATCATTACAATGCCTTTAATATCAACCAGTTTCGTGTGTGTGTGTGTGTGTGTGTGTGTGTCTGTGTGTGTGTGAAAAATCAGTAGGCCACAATATTTATACATTGAAAAAGTATTGTCATGACAAAGTCGTGGGATTTAGCATGGAACTTAAACTATGGAATTGAGATGCAGGCACAATCTGGCTCACAGTAGTTAACTATCGAAGGTAGCACTGAGATTCCAAATGAACTAATAATCCGGCTAGTCAGGGAGTTAGTGATTGATAGAATCAAAATCAGTAAGCAGTTCCACTGTAGAGGAGAAAAGATTATAAGGTAATCACTTGGCAGTAATGCTTGGGCAGGCATTTCTCTTTTATGTAACTTGCCACAGGTTTTCTTGAGAATGCTTGAGCACAGGAGTTCAGATGAAGATTTGGGATTGAAGGAATTCTGAGGCCTCACTCTCCCAGTGAAATGAAGAAAGCCCCATGAATCCTTGAAGCTGTCCCAAATTTAAATGGCTAAAGGACAATTGCTCTAAGGATCTTCATTCCTTAAACTGATTTTATCACCTTGGGAAGTATTCATACCATACTAATACAATGCAATAAATTTTAGAATAGAAAATGTACTTTATTTCAAAGAAATTGATAAGAAACTTTGGAAGTCTTCTGAATGACTATGGAAAAATAAAATCTGTGATATACAATGCTAAACTGGCACAAACATACATCATGTGTTTACCACTTTAAAAACCATTATTTTTAGTCATATTAATCACATCTTCAAATTGAAGAACCAAGTTGCTTAATACAATGGCAGACACTTTGCTGTTCTGCAAATTTGGTTTGAATTAATTTATGAATAAAAAAATATTTTTATATATTCTCTCCTTAGGTTTTAGATATCCCAAAATTTTTCCTGTAATAAATGATGAAGTTGATCAATTATTCTATAATACAGAGAGCATCACAGTCTGTATCATTTTCAACTGTAAAAAAATATTAGCACTTTGTATAAGTCGTCTAATATTGAAATAAGCAAAGTATAAAGAAATAAGGTACATTCTAATTTTCTCAGACCTTGTAAAATCAGTAATTTTTGAGGTAATTTACATGACTGTGTCTTATGAAAATAATTTCTAAATAGTATACAAACCTTCCTTGAATATTTTTGTAAAACTAAACAAACAGCAATAATTACATAATTAAGGCATTGATTTGGTGAAAATAATTGTAACATAATTTTATATGATAGTTATAAGAATATAATTATTATACTATCATAACTGACCTTTTCTTACTTTATTATCAAATATTTTAGGGTCAGACGTGATGGCTTACATGTGTTAACCTAGTGCTCTGAGAGGCTTAGTTGGGAGGATCACTGGAGGCCAGGGGTTTGAGACCAGCCTGGGCTACATAGTGAGACTCTGTCTCAACACAAAATGAAAAGTTTTATTTCTCAAATGTCAAATAATTTAAAAATTCCTGGGCGATTAACTTCTGCTATGGGTCTTTAGCTAGGTGATTAGCTCTGCATGGACATCTTTACCTCTTGACACATCCTTGGCTAATTATCTTACATCTATTAAGTCTCTCTTTCATCATCCCTGTTTCAACCAGGCCTTATACTGTCAATCCTATTCTAGCCAGCACTACTGGATTCCCTCTACATTTTTCTTTGTCATCTTTCTATATTATCTCCTAACATTCTGTATAATTAACCTATTTATTAAGTTCATTGTTTATTGTCTATCTTCCCCTATTAGAAGGCAAGGTCTACAGGGCATAAATTTTTTTCTTACTTGATTTACTGATGACTTTCAAATGCTAATTCATTATATAGCACATAGCAGGTGCACAATATATGTTAGCTAATTATACATATAAGTTAATAACCTTGTTTTTCACCAATAACTTCTAGATACAGTCCTTTCAATTACTTTTTAAAAACTATAAATTACCTTGTTTATTCCTTTTCAAATTTTTTAAAATTGTTCCTTATTATTTTTCCCATTGAAGTTGTAATTGAACATCACATTCTTAATATGACCTACAAATCTTTCATAATCTGATTCAGTGCTCTCCAACTCCTTGTGAGTCATTTTAAGAAATATAAACATAAAACCTACTAAAACTGTCTGTACCTCGTTCAGACTCTCAAACACCTTTGTTTTCACTTCCCCATCCCCTTCCACTTCCCATTAGGTGTATTCTCTCTTTCTTTCCACACACACACACACACACACACAAAACTATCTACTTCACTAGATTGTAAGTTTATTGAGTAAATAATTCATTTTATGATAATGAATTCAGAATTCAGCATGGTGACTGGTACATAGTAAATATAAACTAAATATTTGATGAACACATAACATTAGCCCTTTTTATAACTGAAAACTCCTACATGAAGTTATCTCATAATGGGGCATATAAAACTTAAAAAAAAAGGTTTTTATAAAAAATGACTGAAATCACAATTTTCCCTAAGAAAGTGTAACTTAAGTTGTAAAAGAAAATGACAAAAATGGTGAAGATGTTTCCATTTTCATATTGTCTTCTGTAAGTATATGGTGACAACCCTGACTGAAATCCTTCTGCCTTTGTCTGCACTGTAATATTAATTTTTATTCAGAGTCCACTGACCACAAGATCCCCAGGTAACTGGAAACCGATAGTCCCAGGCAATATTTACCGAAACTAGACTTTCTGGTACCTACAAAATTTTTGTGACTCTCACTGAGAAGATTGCTCATACACTCAGTCTATGAAACAGAATGAAATAAATTCATAGAGTGCCTGTGTTGGAATCCAATCCCACACCATGTGTTACACAAATTGCCCTAGCCTTAATCCTGGCATGCTTCTTTGTGAGAAGAATGAACAAAAGCCAAATCCTTCTATTATCTTGCTAGCCATGGCCTTATATGTTTTATTTTTCAAAATAAATCCACTTTGCCATATGACATTGATAAATTTCTCCAAAGTCCTAGTGCATATGGGACCAGCCTTGCATGACATTGGAACAATGGGAACTCATATATGTTGCCTGTGGGAATGTAAAATAGAAAAGCAATTTATACTGTAATTTTTTGGTTTCTGGTAAAACTGAAACTGTGCGTACAGTTTAATTTAGCAATGACTCCCCTAGATCTGTACCCTAGAGAAAATCCTTTGCAGCTTTGTCTGAATGACAATAAATTAAAGAACTTCAAAATATCCTTGAAATGTTGAATTAACACATATTCTAAGGTATAACCATTGTGGTCTGAAAATAGACAAAATATACATAAATATATATTACATATATAAATATAAATATAATATATATACAGTAGGCAGCTTATGCCTTAAAATGGGTGACATCTCAGATATAAGAAAAATACAAAAACAATGAAAATTGATTAGAATCTAAAATTCTGCCTCCTTGATGAAGTATCTGTGATGATTCCTCTTATGCTTAGGAAGCAAAGCCCTAAAAAATCCATACACACCTACAGAGGTGGGTGGAAATGGGGCATATGATCCAAACTTGGCTAGTTAGAATCACCAGGCAAATTCTGCTGTATCTATAAGAGAAACTTCTAACTAAATGGGGTTGGTAATCCTGGAACAGATAATTTTGGTACTATTTATCGCAATCATACTTACTACCTGAGAAGAACTTGCCAGACATAGAGATGGGTTAATTTTGGTTTTGACATTTTCTATACTTAGCAAATATTAAGCAATGTTTTCATTGTTTATGCCTTCTTTCAGCATATTTTATATTTTCAATGGTTGAATCCAGTTAAACAATTATTTCAAGTTATTAAATTAATATTAAGATCAGGGAATTTAAATTAGAGATATTGAAATTCATAATAAAAGTAAAATTCATAAGCGAGTGTTGTATCATTGAAGAAGTAAGAGGAAAATTAAGAAAAAGAGATTATAGAACCCCATAATATGCTGAAAATTTATTTAATATTTTCTATCAAAAAAATAAAATATCTACCCAAATTATTTAAAACAAATACCATTTAATTAAATCAATTAAAAAGTTAAGCCATAAATAAGTAGTAAACATAGGCATTTATTAATCTGAAATGAGAAGAAAGGAGTTATAAATGGATAAAAAGCAATTTAAAAAATATTTACATCACAAATTCAATGAATGCTGATAAAAACACCTTGATACTAATTTTTCTATAACTTTGTAAAACAATAAATAATTTATTGCACTAGATATCACAGATATTGTGATTAAACATTCTAATTCATTTTATAAGAATATATCTAATTTAAAATCTTCTTGAGGAAAATGTGCTACTTACATCCAATAATTTACAATTGTATATACAATTTGACTCAGTAATTTCACTCTCATATTTTTCAAGATAGTTATCACTGAAACATAGGTATTATTACATACAGTTATGTTATAAAAGTGTTATTTTAAATTAAAAATACTAGGTATTCACTTATAGTGATGATTAAATAAATTATAATGCAGGCCACGGGTGGATTACTATGCATTTATTAACAGTTTCATTTAAAATATGTAATGAAGTATGCTTCAAATCATTAGTGATAATTATGATACAAAATATTATAACACTCATGTATTACTGAAGGTAAGTAATGATTCTTTTTAAATTTAATTTTGTTTGTTCATGTACATATTATCTTTCCAAAATTGATCATTTATCATGTAATTTATAGTTAATTAAACAATAAATCCCTTTAGAAAAATTCTCCTAAATACATTAACATTTTTCTTTAACTGACTCCACAGGAAAGTACATGCAATTAACATGGAAGTTATTCACTGGAAAATGAACAAGCCACTCAAATTTCTGGAATAAGAGTATTTCCATGTTGTTTGCAAAAGTAACTGTAGAAAACAATTTTTTACATGATAATTATACTTATAATTTATAATTGAAGTACAGTCATAAATGTTATTGTAGCAAAGAAAGTGTTTTATGCTTTGTATTAAGTTTCTATTGCTGCTATAAACAGTTTCCACACACTTGGTGGCTTAATACTGTACAAGTTTATTATCTTGGAGTTTTGGAGGTCAGAGCTCCAAATGAGTTTCACTAGACTAAATTAATTTGTCAGCAGACCTGTGTTCTTTCGGGAAGCTCTAAGATCTGTTTCCTTGCCTTTTCCAGCTTCTAAAAGCTGTCTGAGTTCCTTGACTCCTGGCCCTGTATTATTGTGATTTCTGCTTCTGTTGTAACTTACACACCATCTCTTTGCTCCTGTTATCACATTGCTTTCTCTCTTTACTTCCATTGTGACATAACACTCTTTGGCCCTTTGACTCTACTACCTTTCTTTTATAGGGTCCTATATAATGCAACATAATCTCCTTATCTCAAGATACTTAATCTAATCACATCTGCAAAGTCCCTTTTGTCATGTAAGATAACATTCACAGGTTCCAGAAATTAGGGTACGGACACATTTGGGCAGCCATTACAAAATCTACCACAAACTCATTGAAGAATAATACTACATTGGAAGATCAATTAAAATAGTTTTGTTTTGGTTAAACAGTTAGTTTAGTGCCTTAATATGTATCATCAAATTTTTTTCCACGTATGATACATGGATAATTTCTGCTTAAATTTATAATAATTTTAGGTGGTGATTAAACAAGTAGTTTGGCTTTACTGAATGGATTAGCTGAGAGTAAATAGTTTTTATATTTTTGACAAATTGTATGATATCAGTCCAACGTCCAAACATGTTTTAATCGCAGATCAGAAAATGAAATAAGACATATCAAAATTTATTAGATATGATCATCTTAACATCATCTTGAAGATCTGTAAGTTATAAGATGCAGAACATATAAGATATGTATCATTCATTTTTATAATTAGTTAAAAAATACATTTATATAATTTAATATCCAAGCAAAAGTTTTTAGAATTAAATAAAAATGTGTTCTTAAGAGCCAATGAAATTAAAAATCTAGCAATTAGTCAATCTCAGTGGTTAATACAGTCTCCTCTGAACAGGCAAATGTCAGTTAATGTGAATTACGTATCATCATACCTTTGCTCTTTCAGGTTTTGAAGCCTATATAGCATGGTCAATTACTAAAACAAATTTTTGTACATTAATCAGAGCAGGAAGGAGAATCATTTTTAATGCCCACCTGTTGTAAATAGTCTTAATTTACTGAAATGGTCATTATTCTCTGTATTTGCAAGTGTGTTATTTAACCCTGGGCTACTTAAGAATCCAGTAAGGTTAATTAACCTGAGCCTGTGTACAAGCAATATGAGTTAACTTTGTTGGTAAGAGAATAGGAATAAAAACTTCAAAAACAAAGTTAAGGAATTAAAAACCAGTATAATCACTTTTTTGTTAGGATGTATAGATATGTACATCTATTTATACTAAGAAGTATATATACTTCTTAGTATTGGTATTTATACTAATTATAAATTCTTAGTATTTATACTAAGAAGAAAAGCACATATTTTACATATTTAAAATAATGTTTAAAGTTTTATTCTTAAAATAATTTTAAATTTTTACTACTACAAGATGTTTTTGTGAAAACATTGAATTCAATTCCTAGTTCAGGTAATAGTTGTATATTTTATTATTTTGAAATTTTAAACATACAAGCATACATATTATTCTATTAAAACAATATTTTGATTGAAAACCAAATGTAGTAATGTTTGAAATATGAAAAATTAATTTGACAATTGATCATTTATAGTTCTCATTTCTTTGCTAATGTCAAAATAAATTATTTATTTAAATAGAACTAAACGTTAGATTAAATATATTTGTTGAGATATACTCTTTGCCTTTCATTTCATAGCTAGGAACAATGCTACCAGCAACTTACTTCAACTGTGACATATAACAGAAAATTTGTAGTTGGGTTAGGCAAGTAACAGTTATGTATTGTCATAAGTTGGTCCAATTTACTTTGGTCTTGGTGACTATAAATAAATATTTATCAATTATTATAAAGATATATGGTTGCCACAATACATAGTGATAGGAAATGACTTTTAGCAAGTTTACTCTTTATATATTTTTAAATGTTTATTATTAAATGTATACATTTGTTAAACTAAATACCCTTGAATTTAGCATAATATATATTGCTTGATAAAACAGGAAATAAGGCAATAAGCTATAACATGAGTATAATATTTGACTTATATTTTTGGTCAAAGAACAAATGCCATTCAGTATTTACTCAGGTACTTATATACAATGGAGTACTATTCAATCATAAAAAATAATGAGAGCCTGTCATTTTCAACAACATGGATGGAACTGGAAGTCATTATGCAAAGTAAAATAAGCAAGCATGGAAAGACAAGCATCACATGTTCTCACTTATTTGGGGGATCTAAAACTCAAAACAATTGAACTCATGAAGACAGAGAGTAGAAGGATGGTTACCAAAGGCTGGGAAGAATAATGGGAGGGTGGGGGGGAATGGAGACCATTAACGGGTATAAAAAAATAGAAGAATGGACAAGACCTAGTATATTATAACACAATAGGGTGGTTATAGTCCCTAGTAATTTAATTGTACATTTTAAAATAACTAAAACATTATCATTGAATTGTTTATAACACAAAGGATAAATTCTTGAGGGGATGGATACCCCATTTTACATGATGTGATTATTACGCATTGCATGCCTCTATGAAAACATGTCCTGTACCCCATAAATATATGTACCTAGTGTGTAACCACAAAAATTAACATAAAATTTTTTAAAAAGAGAATCTTACAGTAACAATTTATTATTTATTATCAAATATTTAAGATTCAAAATAATGGAGATGATAATTATCACCATAATATAAAAAGTAAGAGTACAAAAGTAACATAAAAATTATTTCCAAGATTATTCCTTATTTTGATCATTTCTGTGAATTTAATAAAAGAGAAATTTTAACTATTTGAAGATACCAAAAAATAAATTCATATATGTGTTACTATCTTCCTGCAAGCATTTTTGTTTAATTTCATTGCGATGTGATTGTACTGATTTCATTCATTTATCACATACATAATGAATGTCTGCTATGTCCCAACCCCTATCCTTAATGCTGGTTATTCAGGTTTGAGCAATTATGAAATGTTTCTTAGAGATACTCTTCAAATGAATGGGAGAATTTAATAATAGATAAATAAGGGGAGAGGAAAACTATGGAAGAGATTGAAGGAGAATCATTTGAGAGCGCTTGTTTGGGTGACTACTTTGGTTTGAGTGACAGAGGGTTAAGTGTTGAGGGGAAGACAGGTGTCTGAATGATCCAAAGAAGGTTGTTGTGTGAGTATCTGGATTAGGAGGGACTTAAGGGCAATGAAAACATCTAGTGCAAAATAGTATAAAACAGGAATGATCTTTATGAAGCAAAGAAAATATGGGAGGCTAGAGCATAGTGAGTCAAAAAATAATAATGTATATAGCAATGACATAAACGAGAGCAGGAAGATTTGATTTCTTTGAAAGTATAATTGCAAACCATTAGATTATTTTAAGCAAGTAAGGATGTTAACCACGGTTTTTTAAATGATTTATCTGGATTTGTTGAAGGGGTGAAGAACGAAAGTGGAGCTCAGGGAAATCCCTGGATTTTTGGCTTCAGCAACTTTGTGGGGTATTGCTGTTCATACACCTAAATTCGATGAGAAAGAATCAGTTGCAGTATGGATAAAGAATTCTATTCTGCCCAAATTAATTTAAGATGATATCCAGGCTGGGCGCGGTGGCTCACGCCTGTAATCCCAGCACTTTGGGAGGCGGAGGCGGGCGGATCACGAGGTCAGGAGGTGGAGACCATCCTGGCTAACATGGTGAAACCCCGTCTCTACTAAAAAATACAAAAAAAAAAAAAAAATTAACCGGGCGTGGTGGTGGGCACCTGTAGTCCCAGCTGCTAGGGAGGCTGAGGAAGGAGAATGGCGTGAACCCGGGAGGCGGAGCTTGCAGTGAGCCGAGATCACGCCACTGCACTCCAGCCTGGGCAACAGAGCGAGACTCCGTCTCAAAAAAAAAAAAAAAAAAATGACATCCAAGGGATATAGTAAGGAGGCCAGTATATAGGCAAGACTGGTGTTTCAAGGTACAAAACAACAAAACACTGAATTGCAAGTAGCTAACCAAAACAAGCATTTAATTCTTCACCACATTACATAAAAATCATAGGTTGGCTTGGTGTTTGCTGTGTAGGCTGGGCTCAGCTGGCCTCAGCAGGATTCTAATGCATAATACTTGACTTCTTATTCTGGGGCCAAGGCTAAGTGAGCGTTTGCTATTCGAGGAAAGATTCTTTTTTCCAGCAAATCACAAAATCTCAAAGAGATAATGGACAAACTACATAATTACATACAAATCTTATGCTCAGAAATGCCATATGTTATGTTGTCCTCATATTTCATTGGCCCAAGCAAATATTGTAACAAGTTTAAAGTCAATGAAATGATGAAGAATAATTTTGCTACTCAAAATGATGGCAAGGCTGGAGAGAGAACAATCAATTGTTAAGATTTGACACATTAAGATGCATTATACTTTCCCTGTATTATTGAGATATATGATATTTACTTATTTATAATAACATTCACCATTTTAAATGCACTTTTTCCCTAAATAATAGAAATATGGTTATAATGCTGCTGCAGAAGAAAGAAATTGCTGTCTGTCAAGAGCTTTCAAAACTCAGTAGCCATTTGTCTTATTAATTCATCATTAACATGTTCATAACTCTGATTTTGACAGATTCAGAAATTGGAGAATTAAAATGTATCTGACACAACTGGGAGGTGTTACCTCCCACGAAGAATCACACTTACTGCATTTAACTTAGATTTTCCTGTTAGACCATGCTTGATAAGCATAAGCAGAAAGCATGATCAATTTGTTGTATGATGTTAGAGCTTTTAGTAGCTATTATCCTGGGAGACACAGCTCTGTACCCTGTAATACATTCCTGGTGTATATCATTCCCTCTGTGATTCTGTCTACCCTTCCAATGGGACCAAACCTTTTTCTCAACTGAAGTATATCTTTATTCATCTATTTATAGTTTATGTTATTGTACAAGGCCTGGTTGGGCCTGTGGGCCATTTAGATTCCTCAGTATTATTCTGTATGTCTCTTCTGATCCATTACAACTTCATCCAAGTCTTTATTATTATCTTCTTAATTTTGATTTTTTGTCAGGTGTAATGTTTGTTGCTGGAGATACAATAAGAGTGGTGCAGATGTGATTCAGACTTGTCCTGATGTATCAGTTAGAGTTTACAATTTAATAGTATCAGTACACCCATGCCCTAAAGCACTCTTGGAAAGGAGAGGAATGTAATGTTCCAAAAGGGTTTATTATTAATAACCACAAGAAATAACGTTGTAAAAATCCACATTCAGTACTTAGGTCTTTCTTGATTTATGCATCTCAAGTTGTTTCAGAGTACATAAAGGGACTGGAAAGTTGCTTTTTGGTTCCATTATAATAATACAATCTTCTACAGTTATGCTCACTAGTGGATAACCTCTGTTTTTAAACTTTGGGAGTCGTTGCAAACCTTTTTGTCTTTTCAGAGAAAGATTTTCCACTTGGATCTTCCATCTCTTTTTTATCCATTGACACCTTAAACTTTTTGTCAGTCACTCATTTTTCCCTCATCAAAATCTAATCTATTATGTTAAATGATTGTTTTTTAATATCAGCTAGGGCCAGATTCAGATTTTTATAAGGGCCTAACAATTATACATTTAGAGTCTAATTTTGAAGACACATAATATAAGACAACAAACAAAATTAGTTTCAAAATAAATTATTCTTGAATACAAATAAATTAACAATGACAAATTTCATAAAGTAAGAAATTTTTAAAAATTGCCTACTTTTTTAGGTTCAAGGAGTACATGTGCAGGTTTGTTATGTGAGTAAATTATATGTCACAGGGGTTTGGTGTACAAATAATTTTCTTACCTAACTAATCAGCATAATACCTGATAGGCAGTTTCTTAGTCTTCACCCTCCTTGTACTTCAAATAGGCCACGATGTCTATAGCTCTCTCCTTTTTCCCATGTGTACTCAATGTTCAGCTCCCACTTATAAATTAGAAAATGCCAAATTTGGTTTTCTATTCCTGCATTAATTTGCTTAGGATAATGGCTTCCAGCTCCATCCCAATTGCTGCAAAGTACATAATTTCATTATTTTTTTTGGATGCATAGTAATCCATGGTGCAAATGTACCACATTTCTGTATCCAGTCCACCACTGATAGACACCAATGTTGATTCCATGTCTTTGCTATTGTGAGTAATGCTGTGGTGAATATATGCATGTATGTGTCTTTAAGGTAGAATAATTTCTATTTCTCTGGGTATATACCCAGAAATGGGATTGCTGGGTTAAATGGTAGTTTTGTTTTACGTTATTTGAGAAATCTCCCGACTGATTTCCACAGTGGCTGAACTAATTTTCATTCCCACCATCAGTATATAGGCATTTCCTTTTATCTGACACCTGGCCAGCCACTTTTTTGACTTTTTAATAATAGCCATTTTGATTGCTGTGAGATGGTATATCATTGTTTTAATTTGCATTTCCCTAGTGATTAGTGATATTGAACATTTTTTTCTTGAAACAGATAATAATACAGAAAAATATCAATGTTGCTTCTAATTAACTCCCTTATATTCTCTATATTTTAAAAATTGTCCCTACATTTTGGTTTCATATGTATTGCATAAAGCCATAACGAGGGTCCATGGCAGTTTTCAAAACAATACACTTATCTAACTGAATTTGTTATTGACTATAAAAGTTGTATTTTTCTTTACTTTTACTTTCACATTACTTTTGCTTTGTTGTTTATCTCTTTACTCTGCTGATTTTCTTTAACGTATTACCTCTTTTGTTTTGATGTCTTCATTATCTATCTTTTTTCTTGACTAATATAAGCATCTGTAGAAGTGAGAATGAATCAATAAGTGTATTTCCTAAAGCCTATATATACTAAGTATCCTCATTCAGCTAAACTTTCTCTTAGCTATGTCCCAAAATTCTTGCAATCAATTCAACACTACTCAACACAAGAGAAAGTGTCACAGTAGAGAAATTGGAGTAGAAATAGGTAAAAATCTATTTTTTTTTTTTTTTTGTTTTTTTTTTGAGATGGAGTCTCGCTCTGTCCCCCAGGCTTAAGTACAGTGGCGCGATCTCGGCTCACTGCAAGCTCCGCCTCCTGGGTTCGCGCCATTTTCCTGCCTCAGCCTCCCGAGTAGCTGGGACTACAAGCGCCCGCCACCACGCCCGGCTAATTTTTTGTATTTTTAGTAGAGACGGGGTTTCACCGTGTTAGCCAGGATGGTCTTGATTTCCTGACCTCGTGACCCGCCCTCCTCGGCCTCCCAAAGGGCTGGGATTTCAGGCGTGAGCCACTGCAACCAGCCGTAGAAATCTTTTTTTTTAGAGGAGTAGAAAGAGGTAAAAAAATCCAGGCCATTGTGGAGTCAGGTAATTGTGGTTAAAGTATTCTACTTTCTCAAAACTCACAAAGCCTTAAGGCTATGTAAGCACATTGCTAAGATCCCTTCACAGGCTTCTTAAATGGTCATAAAATAAGAGATTGTGTACCTTAAGTATTATGCTGAAATTATTATATAGCCGTTTCTATGCAGCAAGGATGACAAAGTAAACCAAACGAGAACTTTACAGTTCTCTGTTTTTGGACTGTGATATCTTTTAAATAATCAAAACTTTCACAGGACCTCAAATTAGTAAAATGTCGGCACCTAATGTAAATCACAATGTTATTTCATTGACTTTTATTGTTATTCTACCCATTTGTTGTACAGAAATCAGTGTTAAATAGCATTGCTTATTTACATAGAGAAGAGTTCTTTCCTGTAAATACTGTCAATGGTGAATGTATATTTTTAAATGATCATAAATGTGATTAGATGACTGAGTACTCAGATGTACTTTAAAAAGAATGTTATCTGGCCCGGGACTGTGGCTCACGCTTGTAATCCCAGCACTTTGGGAAGCCTAGGCAAGCGGATCACCTGAGGTCAGGAGCTGGAGACCAGCCTGGCCAACATGGTGAAACCCCATCTCTACTAAAAATAAAAAATTAGCTGGGTGTGGTGGCGGGCGCCTCTAATTCTAGCTACTCTGAAGGCTGAGGAAGGAGAATGGCTTTAACTTGGGAGGCGGAGGCTGCAGTGAGCCAAGGTCGTGCCACTGCACTCCAGCCTGGGCGACAGAACGAGGTTCCGTCTCATAAAAAAAATGAAAACATGTTATCAATTTAGACAACGTTTATAAACAGTATATTTCTGCATAAATAAGGCCTTGAAAAGTAGATAGATGATAGATAGATAGATAGATAGATAGATAGATAGATAGATAGATGATATAGATAGATTAGATAGATAGATAGACAAATATTCCTATGAATTAAGCAGTTTATGTTCAGTGGTAGGAAGACTTTTATTCAATTTACAGCTCTTTTAACATTTTTAAAATATTCTATTCCTTATTATTGGTTAAAAAAACATACATTTTTAAAACTGGTGAGTGAAAAGATAAACAGTAATTATAATCTTTTATACAAAACATTCTCAGTAGAATTTATTGTATTTGTTTCTCATTATTACCATAACAAATTACTACAAACTTAGTGGCTTAAAACAACACTGATGTCTTACTGTTCTGGATGTTTAGAAATCTAAAATGGGTGTCCTGGGTGGAAAACACGGTGGTGGCCTATTTCCTCCTGAAGACTCTAGAACAGTGCAGACTCTTCTCTTTCCTTTTCCAGCTTCTGGAGGCCGTCTGCATTTCTTAGCTTGTGTAGTCCCTGCCTGCTAGAGTCCTCACATGGCATCATTCTGAAACTAGTCTCCTGCCATTCTACCTTGCGATTACAATGATCTACCCACATAATCCAGGATAACCCTTTATTTCAGGATCATTAATTTTATTAAATATGCAAAGTCCTTTTTTCATGTAAAGTAACATATTTAGAGGTTCCATGGCTCAGGAGATGGCTATTTTGGGCAGGGTTCATTATTCTGTCTATAATATCTGTTTTCTAAGACTATCAGGAATAGAAGACACAATTGAAATGCAGCTGAAAAATACACTGAGAGCACTCAAATATATTTTATTTGATTCAGTAGGATTGTATTTAGTTCAACTCCCCCAATATCTTGAGTATTGTATTATACCAGGCCCAGCTGTATCAATAATTTTATATATTAATAAGAAGAAAGACTCAATTCATTCTGACACACTGCAAAGAGTATTTCAGATTCCTGAATATTCTAAGATAAATTCTAATTCCTGAGTAGGAAGTCCAGGTAGACTGAAATTATATGCCATTATATGCAATTTATATTATTATTTTATTTAAGGCCCACATTTGGTTCTTCTGTGAGGTCTTACCTAATCACCCTTGCTCTTCTAGGTTGTCTTCTCTCTTTTGATTTCACAATTCAGTTTCTTTTATATCCTCCAGTGCATTGCATTTATTTGGTGATTTAAGTAGTCATTCCTCCCACTGATTGAGTGGCCCTGGAAGCAGAATCAACATTATATTTATCTTTGTTATGCCTGTGACTCGCACAGAGACTAGAAGCAAATGAAATGTGCTCAATAAATGGGTATAGTTCATTAAGCAAATAACTAAATGGAGATGATTAAATTACTAAATGAATAATTAAGGACAAACATATATTACAATGCTTATTTTAAACATACTCAGCATTTAAATATGAACATCATACTTCTGCCTATTTTTTCAATTTCTCTGCTTTTACTATGAAGGCACTCACAGCAGGAATGTTGCATTTGGTGCTTTAGTCTCTCCAGGTGATCATAAATGTAGTAGCTTTATGGAAAGCAGTTGGCTCTGTATTTCCTGGAGTCACTCTCAGAGCTTTCACCCAGGGATATATTCTTGAAGAATGATTTTCCTGTCAACTATTATATTCTACAGCACTTTGCAGTAAGTGACTCTGGGCTGATTCCCTTTGTTCTCTAAGAATCAAGTCTAAAATAATCCATTATAACCAGACAGCATTTGTGTTATTTAAATATCTGCAGACAGTCAAAAACTATTTCTATTCTATCATGCCATTTTTGTTCATTTAATGATTGCCAAAATTTCTCTGAGATCCCCGGGGGAAAATAATTTAAAAATTTTCTTTTAGTCTTTGCTACTGAATAAGAAATAAAAGATTTTTAAATGATATAAATTAAACATAGAAGTCAATTTGTAATTTAACAATAAGCATGCAATATTAAAATATGCAATTTCAAGATAAATATATGTTTATAAATTATGGCATTTTCTGGCTGCCAATGAAACCAGCTTTCCTTTTACCCGGTTATGTCATCTCTCTTCTCTTCTTACCTAATTGGCTTCTGATATTAAGGATCACACAGCTGTCAAACAGGAAAGTTAATTTCCTGTATCTCATCATGGCTTGACAGTAGTTTTAGTTACTCACAGAGAATCAGAAACGGGAGTGTAAAAGAAAGAGAAAATTGTTTGGACTTTATGCATTATATTTAAATAAATAAACACCTCATTAATAGTTAAAAAATGGAGGAGCGGCCTATTTAGTTTTTTTTCCCACTCTAGGGTATTTATAAACATATATCAGCAAGAGGATTGTTTGTTTCTCACAAACTTTATAGGGAGAGAATTCTTAGTTTAGTTTAGTCAGATTATTTACACAAATAATAGTCACATAGTAAGAATATGCAAAATTATGTGAGTGCCACCAAAGATCTCCTAGAAAATAGTTCCTTTTATTATTAACGATTCACCACTTTCTGACTTATATTGTGCAAATTCCCTCTGAGTCCCCAATATGTTGAATTTCAAGACAAACCAAGACACCATTCAAATTATTTTTCTTAATGTACTTAAAAAAGAACATGGTTCTTCTTTGCTTTGGAATAAAAACTGGACAATATAACTGCCTCACAGGGCCACTTCATGCATAACTTCAGTGAGCACGTTCCTTTTAATGCTGAATTGGCATAAAAACAAGTTGGGCCCTTTTCAGCATGTCAACACTCCCGATACATGGCTCACATTAAGGGACTTATTTAAGATTAAGGGACTCCTTCAGGAAAATCCAGGCTCAGTTTACAAATTTTGATATTACGCCAACCTTAACTTTCAAGTGACTGCAGGAAATTTTGCAGCCACCAGTTTTGCTGTTTATTAATTTCTCAGAATTCTAGAAGCGTAATGAATTTGGATTCTTAACCGTTGGTTTATTTGTGTTCTACTAAATTTAAATAATCAGAAAACAAATAGTATGCCCCTGTATTGTTACAACAAGGCATTGGTTTTCTTTTTTTTAATTTTATTTTTATTATTATTATTATACTTTAAGTTTTAGGGTACATGTGCACAATGTGCAGGTTTGTTACATATGTATACATGTGCCATGTTGGTGTGCTGCACCCATTAACTCGTCATTTAGCATTAGGTATATCTCCTAATGCTATCCCTCCCCACTCCCCACACCCCACAAAAGTCCCTGGAGTGTGATGTTCCCCTTCCTGTGTCCATGTGTTCTCATTGTTCAATTCCCACCTATGAGTGAGAACATGCAGTGTTTGGTTTTTTGTCCTTGCGATAGTTTGCTGAGAATGATGGTTTCCAGTTTCATCCATGTCCCTACAAAGGGCATGAACTCTTCATTTTTTGTGGCTGCATAGTATTCCATGGTGTATATGTGCCACATTTTCTTAATCCAGTCTATCGTTGTTGAACATTTGGGTTGGTTCTAAGTCTTTGCTATTGTGAACAGTGCCGCAATAAACATACCTGTGCATGTGTCTTTATAGCAGCATGATTTCTAATCCTTTGGGTGTATACCCAGTAATGGGATGGCTGGGTCAAATAATATTTCTAGTTCTAGATCCCTGAGGAATCGGCACACTGACTTCCACAATGGTTGAACTAGTTTACAGTCCAACCAACAGTGTAAAAGTGTTCCTATTTCTCCACATCCTCTCCTGCACCTGTTGTTTCCTGACTTTTTAATGATTGCCATTCTAACTGGTGTGAGATGGTATCTCACTGTGGTTTTGATTTGCATTTCTCTGATGGCCAGTGATGATGAACATTTCTTCATGTGTTTTTTGGCTGCACAAATGTCTTCTTTAGAGAAGTGTGTGGTCATATCCTTTGCCCACTTTTTGATGGGGTTGTTTGTTTTTTTCTTGTAAATTTGTTTGAGTTCATTGTAGATTCTGGATATTAGCCCTTTGTCAGATGAGTAGATTGCAAAAATTTTCTCCCATTTTGTAGGTTGCCTGTTCACTCTGATGGTAGTTTCTTTTGCTGTGCAGAAGCTCTTTAGTTTAATTAGATCCCATTTGTCAATTTTGGCTTTTGTTGCCATTGCTTTTGGTGTTTTAGACATGAAGTCCTTGTTCATGCCTATGTCCTGAATGGTATTGCCTAGGTTTTCTCCTAGGGTTTTTATGGTTTTAGGTCTAACATGTAAGCCTTTAATCCATCTTGAATTAATTTTTGTATAAGGTGTAAGGAAGGGATCCAGTTTCAGCTTTCTACATATGGCCAGCCAGTTTTCCCAGCACCATTTATTAAATAGGGAATCCTTTCCCCATTTCTTGTTTTTGTCAGGTTTGTCAAAGATCAGATGGTTGTAGATATGTGGCGTTATTTCTGAGGGCTCTGTTCTGTTCCATTGATCTATAACTCTGTTTTGGTACCAGTACCATGCTGTTTTGGTTACTGTAGCCTTGTAGTATAGTTTGAAGTCAGGTAGGATGATGCCTCCAGCTTTGTTCTTTTGGCTGAGGATTGACTTGGTGATGCGGGCTCTTTTTTTGGTTCCATATGAACTTTAAAGTAGTTTTTTCCAATTCTGTGAAGAAAGTCATTGGTAGCTTGATGGGGATGGCATTGAATCTATAAATTACCTTGGACAGTATGGCCATTTTCACAATATTGATTCTTTCTACCCATGAGCATGGAATGTTCTTCCATTTGTTTGTATCCTCTTTTATTTCATTGAGCAGTGGTTTGTAGTTCTCCTTGAAGAGGTCCTTCACATCCCTTGTAAGTTGGATTCCTAGGTATTTTATTCTCTTTGAAGCAATTGTGAATGGGAGTTCACTCATGATTTGGTTCTCAGTGTGTCTGTTATTGGTGTATAAGAATGCTTGTGATTTTTGTACATTGATTTTGCATCCTGAGACTTTGCTGAAGTTGCTTATCAGCTTAAGGAGATTTTGGGCTGAGACAATGGGGTTTTCTAGATATACAATCATGTCATCTGAAAACAGGGACAATTTGACTTCCTCTTTTCCTAATTGAATCCACTTTATTTCCTTCTAGTGCCTAATTGCCCTGGCCAGAACTTCCAACACTACGTTGAATAGGAGTGGTGAGAGAGGGCATCCCTGTCTTGTGCCAGTTTTCAAAGGGAATGCTTCCAGTTTTTGCCCATTCAGTATGATATTGGCTGTGGGTTTGCCATAGATAGCTCTTATTATTTTGAGATACGTCCCATCAATACCTAATTTATTGAGAGTTTTTAGCATGAAGGGTTGTTGAATTTTGTCAGAGGCCTTTTCTGCATCTATTGATATAATCATGTGGTTTTTGTCCTTGGTTCTGTTCATATGCTGGATTACATTTATTGATTTGCATATATTGAACCAGCCTTGCATCCCAGGGATGAAGCCCACTTGATTATGGTGGATAAGCTTTTTGATGTGCTGCTGGATTCGGTTTGCCAGTATTTTATTGAGGATTTTTGCATCAATGTTCATCAAGGATATTGGTCTAAAATTCTCTTTTTTTGTTGTGTCTCTGCCCGGCTTTGGTATCAGGATGATGCTGGCCTCATAAAATGAGTTAGGGAGGATTCCCTCTTTTTCTATTGATTGGAATAGTTTCAGAAGGAATGATACCAGCTCCTCCTGTACCTCTGGTAGAATTCAGCTGTGAATCCATCTGGTCCTGGACTTTTTTTGGTTGGTATGCTATTGACTATTGCCACAATTTCAGAGCCTGTTATTGGTCTATTCAGAGATTCAACTTCTTCCTGGTTTAGTCTTGGGAGAGTGTATGTGTCAAGGAATTTTTCCATTTCTTCTAGATTTTCTAGTTTATTCGCATAGAGGTGTTTGTAGTATTCTCTGATGGTAGTTCGTATTTCTGTGGGATCGGTGGTGATATCCCCTTTATCATTTTTTATTGCATCTATTTGATTCTTCTCTCTTTTCTTCTTTATTAGTCTTGCTAGCGGTCTATCGATTTTGTTGATCTTTTCAAAAACCAGTTCCTTAATTCATTAATTTTTTTAAGGATTTTTTTTTTTGTCTCTATTTCCTTCAGTTCTGCTCTGATTTTAGTTATTTTTTGCCTTCTGCTAGCTGTTGAATGTGTTTGCTCTTGCTTTTCTAGTTCTTTTAATTTTGACGTTAGGGTGTCGATTTTGAATCTTTTCTGCTTTCTCTTGTGGGCATTTAGTGCTATAAATTTCCCTCTACACACTGCTTTGAATGTGTCCCAGAGATTCTGGTATGTTGTGTCTTCGTTCTCGTTGGTTTCAAAGAACATCTTTATTTCTGCCTTCATTTCGTTATGTACCCAGTAGTCATTCAGGAGCAGGTTGTTCAGTTTCCATGCAGTTGAGTGGTTTTGAGTGAGTTTCTTAGTCCTGAGTTCTAGTTTGATTGCACTGTAGTCTGAGAGACAGTTTGTTATAATTTCTGTTCTTTTACATTTGCTGAGGAGTGATTTACTTCCAACTATGTGGTCAATTTTGGAATAGGTGTGGTGTGGTGCTGAAAAAAATGTATATTCTGTTGATTTGGGGTGGAGAGTTCTGTAGATGTCTATTAGGTCCGCTTGGTGCAGATCTGAGTTCAATTCCTGGGTATCCTTGTTAACTTTCTGTCTCGTTGATCTGTCTAATGTTGACAATGGGGTGTTAAAGTCTCCCATTATTATTGTGTGGGAGTCTAAGTCTCTTTGTAGGTCACTCAGGACTTGCTTTATGAATCTGTGTGCTCCTGTATTGGGTGCATATATATTTAGGATAGTTAGCTCTTCTTGTTGAATTGATCCCTTTACCATTATGTAATGGCCTTCTTTGTCTCTTTTGATCTTCGTTGGTTTAAAGTCTGTTTTATCAGAGACTAGGATTGCAACCCCTGCCTTTTTTTATTTTCCATTTGCTTGGTAGATCTTCCTCCATCCCTTTATTTTGAGCCTATATGTGTCTCTGCACGTGAGATGGGTTTCCTGAATACAGCACACTGATGGGTCTTGACTCTTTATCCAATTTGCCAGTCTGTGTCTTTTAATTGGAGCATTTAGCCCATTTACATTTAAAGTTAATATTGTTATGTGTGTATTTGGTCCTGTCATTTTGATATGTCTTGGAGTTGCTCTTTTCGGGGAGTATCTTTGTAGTGTTCTCTGTATTTCCTGAATCTGAATGTTTGCCTGCCTTGCTAGATTGGGGAAGTTCTCCTGGATAATATCCTGCAGAGTGTTTTCCAGCTTGGTTCTATTCTCCCTGTGACATTCAGGTACACCAATCAGACGTAGATTTGGTCTTTTCACATAGTCCCATATTTCTTGGAAGCTTTGTTCGTTTCTTTTTATTCTTTTTTCTCTAAACTTCCCTTCTTGCTTCATTTCATTCATTTCGTCTTCTATCACTGATACCCTTTCTTCCAGTTGATCGCATTGGCTCCTGAGGCTTCTGCATTCTTCATGTAGTTCTTGAGCCTTGGCTTTCAGCTCCATCAGCTCCTTTAAGGACTTCTCTGTGTTGGTTATTCTAGTTATCCATTCATCTAATTTTTTTTCAAAGTTTTTAAGTTCTTTGCCATTGATTTGAATTTCCTCCTGTAGCTCAGAGTAGTTTGATCGTCTGAAGCCTTCTTCTCTCAGCTCGTCAAAGTCATTCTCCATCCAGTCTAACACATTTGTGATAAGAGATAGAGGATGATGTCATAGATGCCTGGATACCAGGATCATTATATGATACCCCCCTTTACATGACTTAAGTTTTGAGGTAACCCCTGAGTGCTATTGCCTCCTTGCCTCCTACTTGATCCCATTACTTTTATTCGTTTCTTGAAGTTTCTTAGTTATTTTCACCTGTGTACATTTCCAGAAAACCTGCAATTTAAAATGCTGTCTCTAAGCAGAGTTGATCAGCATCAGCCACTCTCTGATTTATGCTGTTTTGATTTGGATTATATTTAATTCATGGAATAATTGAGAAATAATTGATATTATGGAGTTATCCAATTTATTGACTTTTCATAGTGCTTTTCATAATTCAAATTTCCTGCCTGTAAATTACATAGTTTTTAAAATTTATTTATTTTTGTCCATTTGCTTTTTTTCTAACTTTCTCTTAGAAACCATTTGATAGGTATATCTCTTGATATGTATTTTGTTGGTATTGAAAATATGATTTAACTACAATAATTGGTATATAGGTATGTCATTAACTTTTATAATCAGCTTGCAAAATAGCTTTTTAAAAAGGTAGATACATGTATTTTGCATTTGCTTTTCTTTGGTTTTCTGAGGGCATAGTAACATCACCAACAAATTATGTAGCCCTATCTTTAAATTTTGTTTTTTTCAGAAACAAAACATTTTAAAAACATTTTTTCACTATAAATTATTCTATATGATATGCTGTAATAAAATAAACCATTTTCAACTATAAATTTTCATTTATTTGTTAATGTTATTACCTTTATCTGATATTGGAGATTAAAATATGCATATGCATGCTTTAGAACTTCTTTCTTCTCCCTTTGATTGTTAGTTAATAATTTTTTCTAGAAGTTGTTAAAAAGGAAAATCTCTTGTTTTGCTGCTGCAATTACCCCTGCAGTGGGATGGATTGAGTCACCATTACTGCTAAAGAAGGATTCCAAAATCTGTAAATGAGGGGAATGCTTAAAAACTCAATTTTAGCTACCCATCTAAGGTATGCTTTCTACTCCACATGTACTATCAGAACCAGAATTTGATTCTTATCTAACACCTATATTTATTTTTCCCATAAATTGGAATGCATAGAAGAAAAGTTATGAAAACAACTTTGTAGAGGCCCGTATTCTACTATGATATAACTAGGACCCCTTGTGAGTTGACTAAGTCTTTTGCAGAAAATACATTTGGGGACAAATGCAACATGTAGGAAGACTGAAGCTTCTTCTTTTATGACCAATGTGGAAAGATCTACCTTGTATATGAACAATAAACCATTGTAGTTTTCATCTTGACCAATCAATCACTGATACAGGAAAGCAGGTGGCAAGTTTATGGCTGTTTCTAAGGAGCACAAAATGCCTGAGTTTTTTTAAATGAAATCCCTCTATATTTATTTTGAGCCACCTGAGCATGATTGCAATAGAAACCATCTTTATGCTAGATTACCAGGAAAAGGGAGTCAATGAGTCCCAGAAAGTTAGACTCCAAATGATCAGACTTTCAGATTAACAGTTTGTTAGGATTTTGTGAGTGAAATAACACTCTTCTACTTATCTATGATGCACAACAAGGGCTCCAGACTTGGGAATCATGAGAGAGCAAACGTTCAATATTCTATACAGGACTTGCCTTTAAGTTCAACTATAGTATTTAACCACGCTGTTTTTTTGTTTTGTTTTCTAGATGGAATTTTGCTCTTGTTGCCCAGGCTGGAGTGCAATGGTGTGATCTCAGCTCACCACAACCTCTGCCTCTGGGTTCGAGCAGTTGTCCTGCCTCAGCCTCTCTAGTATCTGGGATTACAGGCATGCAGCACCACGCCCAGCTAATTTTGTACTTTTAGGAGAGACAGGGTTTCTGTAGCCACCCTGTTTTTTAAATCTTATTTTGTATGTATTCAAACTTTAAAACCATAAAAAGAACTATAGAAAAGACTAGCCTCCTGAATATATGTGAGTTTTACAAAAGCTTCCAGATTTACTCCTTAACACACGGTCTAATAAGACTCTGTTTTTGTTAATCATATAAGTAATGATCATGACTTAGGTATTCATATGCCAGGATCCTGCTTATAATTATAAATAAATACCTCCCATTTAAAAAATTATTGCTAATATGTAATATATAAGCATTAAGGATGTCAATACTAAAACTAAAACTACTATCTTAAAAATGTTTTCAATGTCCCTTTCTGATCAACTGGAATACCTTGTTTTATTGTACTTTGCTTTATTGAACTTTGCAGATACTGTGTTTTTTACAAAGTGAAGGTTTGTGGCAACCTGGTGTTTGGCAAATCTATTGGAACTATTTTTCCCACATTATGTGCTCACTTCATGATTTTCTGTCACATTTTGGTAATTCTCATAATATTTCAAACTTTTTCATTATTATGATATTTTTATCATGTTCTGTGATCACTGATCTTTGGTGGCATTGTTGTGATTGTTTGGGGAGCTGCAAACCTCCACCCATATGACTGTGAACTTCATCAATAAATGTGGTGTGTGTTCTCACTGCTCTGCTGGCCAGCCATTCCCCCACCTCTCTCCCACTTCTTGAGCCTTTCTATTTCCTGAGATGAACAATATTAAAATTGGGCCAATTTGTAATCTTACAGCACCCTCTAAGTCTTCAAGTGAGAAAATACACAACAATATTGAAGTTGGGCCAGTTAATAACCCTACAATGGCCTCTAACTCTTCAAGTGAAAAGAAAAGTCACATGCTTCTCATTTTAAATCAAAAGCTAGAAATGATTAAGTTCAGTGAGGAAGACATGCAGAAAACAGGCAGGCTGAAAGCTAGGTCTCTTGTACCAAAAAACACAGCTGTTAATGCCAACAGAAAGTTCTTGAAAAAAATAAAAGTGTTACACCAGTGAACACATAAATGAAAAGAAAGGGAAACAGCATTATTGCTGATATAGAGAAAGATTTAGTGTGTCTGGATAAAATATCATACCAGCCACATCATTCCCTGAAGCCAAATCTTAATCCAGACAAAAGCCCTAACTCTTTTTCATTCTATACAGAGAGAAAGCTGAGGAATCTGCAGAAGAAAAGTTTTAATCCAGCAGATGTTTGCTCATAAAGTTTCAAAAAAGAAACCATTGCTGTAACATAAAAGTGTAACGTGAAGCAGCAAGTGCTGAGGTAGAAGCTGCAGCAAGTTATGCAGAAGATCTAGCGAAGATAATTGATGAAAGTGGCTATGCTAAACAGCAGATTTTCAGTGTAGACAAGACAGCCTTCTATTGGAAAATGATGTCTTCTAATGCCCTCATAGCTAGAGAGAAGAAGTCAATGCCTGGCTACAAAACTTCAAAAACCAGGATGACTCTCTTGCTAGGGGCTAATGCAGCTGGTGACTTTCAGTTGAAGCCAGTACTCACTTACCATCCTGAAAATTCTAGGGCCCTTAAGAATTATGCTAAATCTACTCTGCCTGTGCTCTATAAATGGAACAATAATGGCCCAAATGGAAGAAAAATGGCCCAGATCATGCCACATCTGTTTATATCACAGTTTACTGAACATTTTAAGCCCACTGTTGAGACCTACTGCTCAGAACATGAAAAGATCCCATTGAAAATATTACCGATCAATGGCAATATACTTAGTAACGCAAGAACTCAAATTAAAATGTTCAGGAGGTTACATTACGAACACCCATGATTCATGAAAGAAGACCAAAATATGAACAGGAATTTGCAGAGTGGATGATGACTGTAGAGTTCAAAACTTCAGTGAAGGAAGTAACTCCAGATTTAGTGGAAATAACAAGATAACTAGAATTAGAAGTAGAGCCTAAAGATGTGACTAGATTGCTGTAATTTTATGATAAAACTTTAACACATAAGGATTTGCTTCTTATAAATTAGTAAAAAAGTGGTTTCTTGAGATGGGATCTACCCTTGGTGAAGATACTGTTAACATTGTGGAAATGACAACAAAGGATTGAGGATATTACATAAACTTAATTGATCAACCTGGCTTGAGAAGATGGATACCAATTTTTAAAGAAGTTATGTGGGTAAAATGCTATGAAACAGTAACACATGCTAGATACATCTTTCATGAAAGGGAGAGTCAATTGCTGTCACAAATATTATTGTCTTATATTCAGAAATTGCCACAGCCATCCTTACCTTCAGCACCACCACCCTTATCCATCAGCAGCCATCAACCTCAAGGCAAGACACTCTACCAGCAGAATGATTAGGTTAAATGAAGACTCAGATGATCATTAGCTTTTTTTAGCAATAACGTATTTTTTAATTAAGACATGTACATAGTTTTAGACATTATGCTATTGCTCAGTTAATATACTTCAGAATACTATAAAGACACATTTGTACACATTAGAAAACTGAAAAATTTGTGTACCTACTTTATTGTAATCTTCACTTTATTGTAGTTGTCTGAAATTGAACTCAGCATCTCTGAGATATGTCTGTACTGTGATATCTAGCTAAGAATCTTCACATTTAAATTTCCTAAGTTTAAATTTGATATCACTTAATTTCATGTTTTTGGTATACACTTGTTTTTATTCTTTCATTAAGATAGAGTCTGTCCTTGTAGACTAAAACTTTAAAAGAATATTTTTCTATTAATATTTATCTAGGAAGTAAAGTAAAACACTTACTTGCTAGCAGCCTAAAAATTAATTCTTAACCTTGTAAGTTTAGTTTTATCACTAAGGAGTACTGTGATTTAAAAGATATGAAAAATTATCCCAACTGACAGAGAATTGCTTTTATCACTTATCCCAATCTTAAGAGTTTTCATGATGACAAGCATAGGAAAGAAATCTATATATTTAGTATAAATGGTGTGTCACTTGATCTTTCTGCTAGAAAATGTTAAACTGTGTGATTACTGCATTATGCATATTCAACCTCTGAAAATTTTTAGATTAAATATTGTTTCAGAAGACAGAACAGAATGAAAATTAAACATTTACAAAGCAGGAATCAAGACAAGCAGATGCATATTATGCTGAAGCTTAATGTTTAACTATACCACTAGTGGAAGGACCAACATAGAAAAAGCAACAGAAAGAAAAAAATCTAGGGAAAATATTTTAAAATAAACATGGTTCAACTATGTAATAAGTGGCACTTTCATGTTAAAGTACATGATACTTTCAAGTGAATACTTTTAATGTGAGCTGTACAGTTAGAAAGCAAATGTGTATTCCTCCCTTAGTTGATTCAAATGAACACTAACAAACACACTTTAAACAATATTTAGCAGGATCCGTGACTCAAAACTTCTTTCTTATTTTATCTATGTGAGGCAAATTTATTGTGTCATTTGGACTGCAGTGATATTTAAGCCCTGTACTGATTGTCACATGACAAAATAATAAATGAAGTCCGGTCTTTTGACACAAGTTGTATTTTTTATGTGTGTTTGTCTGTAATCTCTTGTATAGGTAAATAATATTTATTTAACTACATCAAGGCCATTGGGCTTTTTCAGACATATGGACACAGCAGCAATATGCAGTAAACCATGGTTGATTTAAGATACTTCAAATATATACAGAGTATGTTTTAGCTACTGCTCTGTCAACTGTTATCTTTCCTGACAGTTGAAGTGGGAGAAGAATTGCTCTTGGGTATTACTTTCTTGATTCATAGAAGGATAGTTAGAAGTTTCTGCAAGACTGGTGGCATAGAAAAAGACAGAAGATGTGTTTGTTTGATAGATCAGGGATTTGATTTTTTAAAAGAGAGAATCTAACACCTTTCTATCAGCTGAAATGGTGGCATGATGAATAATTGAATAACATCATGACTAAGACACCAATAGTGAGTGAGTTACCTATTTTCTCCTTAAATTTGACAATTCCATGCAAGTGAAAATGTAAAACACCTGCTAAGAATTCATTTTGCAACCAGTATAAATGTTTGGACCTTATCTACATATATTTTGGAGTAGTTTAATTATACTAAGTAATGTCATTGCCCTAATTGTCACATACACAATCAGAAACTTTATATTACATTGGAAAGCAAGAAAATCTGAATGCAATAATTTGAAGCTGGACTAGATATTTTTGGCCTTTTTCAAGATGCCCTTTTTAATTCTACAATTTCTCCCTTTATCATCATGATTGAGACACCTCTTCTGCTTCAAAGGATAAATACATTTCATCCATACAGTATATTTATGAGAAAAAACTGGTAATTTTTTTCTCTATAGAGTAACTAAATTTAAAAAAGGGAGATATACAGTTAGAGGTTGCATTAGTTATTTTTTTTTAACTATCATAGCAAAGTACAAGAAACTAGATACTTTAAAAGAACAAAAATTTCTTCTCTCACAGTTAAGGAGGCTAGAAATTTAAATTTCAATGTCAATTGTTGTCAGGACCACCTTCTCTCTAAAATCATGAGAGTTGGATTCTTCCTAGCTTCTTTTACCTGCTAGTAGACCTAGACATTCTTTGACTTGTGCAGTACAACTCCACTCTCTACCGCTATCTTCTTATGATCCTCTTCCCTGTGTCTGTGTCTGTGTCCATATTTCTCTTCTTACAAGGACCAGCCATATTAGATTAAGTGCCCACCTTACTCCAGTTATTACCCCATCTTAACTAATTACATCTGTCGTGACCCTATTTCTCTAGTTATTACCCCATCTTAACTGATTACATCTACAATGACAATGACCCTATTTCCAAATAAGGTCAAATTCTGAGTCACTGGATGTTTGGCCTTTGATATATCTTTTGGTGGAGATACAATTCACGCTGAAACAAATGTGCTTCGAATGAAAGAAAAAGATAAAATGAGAATAAAGAAATACATTTTGCCAAAGATACTTTCCTAAATTTTAAATGGAAGTTTAAATTATAGCCATTTCTTATCATAAGGTTGAACAAATGTGAATTTAAAAAGATCACACTGTTTCTACATTTTTTTAAAAGCTAAAGTATTTCTATTTTAAAAGGGTCATCAGTGAGAACAATTTAGCCATGTCAATATCAGAAAACCTATGGTTGGGGAAATGTGTTCACATGGAATAATTCTAACTCATAGGCATCATTCTAAAATCTAGAGAGGCATCTCACATTTAACATACTGCTTTAGGTCTTATTTCCCTCCCTTTTATACCTTAAATTATCTTTATATTTTGTACATTGTTTTAAACAAAATTGGTCTGTGCTGTCTCTATTTAGAGAAAAACAGAACATGTTCTGTACAACATTCTAAGTTAAGCAGGCCCAGGGGATCTGCAGCAGCTCTAGAAGCAGGAAAAAGATAAGGCAATGGACAGTGGTAGCTATGCAAATAGATTTCATCCCACATTTTGAACTAATAGTACTAGTCATTTTTCCCCAGTAAACAAAGTGGGTGAATAACTAAAGCCTGGGCAATAATAACCCATACTTGGCTACAGATAAGTTCAAGCAGTGAAATGCAACATGATCAAATCTTAAAATAAGTGTTGTCTTGATTTTAGAATGAAATTGTGGACATACCCTTTGATCAACAACTCACTATTTTCGCCCTTCACCTCAAAAGGATACAGTTTCAGTTATGCAAGATGAATAAGTTCTAGAGATCTAATGTACGACATGATAAATATGGTTAATAATAATTTTATTGCATACTTGACATTTGCTAAGAGTACATCTTAAGTGTTCTTACCAAAACAAAAAATAAAAAAAAGAATTGGCTGGGTGCGGTGGCTTATGCCTTTAATCCCAGCACTTTGGAAGGCCGAGGCGGGTGGATCACCTGAGGTCAGAAGTTCAAGACCAGCCTGGCCAACATGGTGAAACCCTGTCTCTACTAAAAATACAAAAATTCCTGGGTGTGGTGGCGGGCACCTGTAATCCCAGCTACTCAGGAGGGTGAGGCAGGAGAATCATTTGAACCCAGGAGGTGGACGTTGCAGTGAGCCTAGATTGCACCACTGCACTCCAGCCTGGGCAACAAGAACAAGACTCCGTCTAAAACAAAACAAACAAAAATTAGAAATATATACAATTATGTTTATCTAATTATAATATATATGTGTAGTTATATGTGCATCGCAAAGCAAGTCTTAATAAATTTAAGAAGATTGAAATCATAGCAAGTATCTATTCCGACCATAATGGAATAAACTAGAAACTAACAGAGAAGGAAAACTAGAAAATGCACAGACGTGGAAATTGACCCTCTTACTTTTGAACAACCACTGAAAAAAGCGAAACTAGAAAACACTTCCAGACAAAGGAAAATGAAGCACAACATTCCAAAGCTTATGGGATTCAGCAAAAGCAGTACTAAGAGGGAAGCTTATTGTGATAAATGCCTACATTTAAAAAGGAGAAAGACCTCAACCAGCAAACCTAACTTTATACCTCGAGGAGTGATAAAAAAAAAAAAAAAACTTAGTCCAAAGTTAGCAGAAGGAACAAAATAACAACTATTAGACTATAAATAAAGTAGAAGAGAAGGATAAAGACTTAGATAATATAGACTATATATATTCCTATATATAATATATATTATCGATAATATAGACTTAGATAATATATTTGCGTACCAACTGTCTGACAAATAAATAGTATTTAGAGTGTATTTTAAATCTCTCAAAATTAGAGAATAGTCTGGGTGCAGTGGATCATGCCTGTAATCCCAGCACTTTGGGAGGCCAAGGTGGGTGGATCATGAGGCCAGGAGTTCGAGACCAGCCTGGCCAATATGGTGAAACCCTGTCTCTATTAAAACTACAAAAAAATTAGCCAGACATGGTGGTGCGCACCTGTAGTTCCAGGTACTTGGGAGGCTGAGCCAGAAGAATCGCTTGAACCCGGGAGGCGGAGGTTGCAGTGAGCCGAGATCGCGCCACTGCACTCCAGCCTGGGCAACAGAGAGAGACGCCATCTCAAATAATAATAATAATAATAATAAAAATTAGAGAATTAAAAAAATAGAAAATGGGCAAGAGACATAAACAGTCATTTCAAAATAGAAGATATATAGTTGGCAAATAAGAAAACAAAATATTTTTAAACATTATTGCTCATTAGAGAAATACAAATTAAAATCAGAACAACTAAAATAAAAATAATAAAAAACATAAAATGTTGGTTAGGAAACAGAGACATTGGATCACATTATTGGTAAAGTAAAATAGTGCTGTCATCTTGCAATACAGTTTTGGAGTTTCTTTTAAAATTTCCCATGTAGCCCAGAAATTACACTCTTAGTTATTTATACCGAATGAATGAAATTTATGTTCACACAAAACCTGTATGCAAATTCTTGTAGCAGCTTGATTGTTAGTAGTCTGAAACTGTAAGCAATCCAGATGTTGTTTGAACGGTGAATGGTAAAGGAAACTGGTACTTCACATCATGGAATATTATTTAGCAATAAGAAGGAACGAACTATTGCTAATACACAGGAAATAGGATGAATCTGAATAATTTACACTGAGTGGAAAAAAAAGTCAAAAAATTACATACAAAAATTACATGTTACACTGACATAATATTTTTGAGACAACAAAATTATAGAAATAGAGAACAGATCAGTGGTTGTCAAGTTAGGTATGAGATGGGAGGGTATTAGAAGGAGGTGGTCGGGTTATAATTATTAATAGTAGGGATCTGCATAATGACAGTACTATTCTTTCTTGACTCCTGTGGTGGATACGGAAACAACATATGTGCTCCAATAGCATAGAAATGAATACACAAACATACATACCTCATACACAAATGAATACAAGTAAAACTGGCAGATCTGAATAATGGATTGCATCAATGTCAATATCCCGGTTGTGACATTATAGTATAATTTTGCAAAAGGTTACCATTAGTGATAACTAGGTAAAGCTTATAAAAGGTCTCTTATTTCTGGCAATGTCATGTGAATCTACAAATACATCTAAAATTACAACAACAACACTTAAAAATTATGTTTGTAGAAACATTTTGAGGTTTAATTTAATGCTATTTTCTTTCATAGAAGACTTTAAATCTTTTCTCAGCTATTTGCCAATTTGCACTAGACATCTGGGGACACTTCAAACCAGCAAGGCATTGAGGTGATTTGGAATGGAGCAAACTGTCTAAAACAGCCTGTGAATTTTTAGTTCCCTGTTTCTTAGGGTGCAACCCTTTGCCTTTCTATTCTGAAACAAGAAGATTACGCTAGTGACCCTTCTTTTGGTGGGCCCTGGATTTCAACAACTGTCCCTCTAGCCCAGTGGCTGGAATAAGCAGGAGATGGGGAAACTGGGGGCAGAGAGTGTGGGAGTTGGATGTGAGGGCTGAGGGGTTTTCACACTTCTTCTCTACAACCCCAAGAAAATTTTGACTATGCCTGGAGACAATTTGATTGGTTGTCACAATTGGGAGAATGTTGCTGTAATCTAATGGGTAGAGGCTAGGAGTATTGCTAATCATCATACAAATCACAGGGCATCCCCCACCCAGGTCAACAAAGAATTATCTAGTCCAAAATGTAAATAGCACTGAGGCTTAGAAATCCTGCACTAGCCTCAGAAGGCTGATCTCAGCGACCTCAGCTTTTCAGCCATATACTGTATAATTTGACAAAGTCGTGAGGGTATAAACCACTCCCAAATTTCGCCTGACCTGCCTGTATTCCATCATCTCCTAGCTCCTGCTTAGATAATTTTTCACTGTCATGTTAACTCCCTCTGATGCTCCCAAGCAGATGAGACTTGTCTACTTTTGTTTTCCTTTTAGTCCACTTTCTAATTTTTCTCTTTCCTTATTAATTCTACACAAACTATTGTGCCATCAGGAGAAGTCTAAATCCTTTAATACATTTTTTAAATTTTTAGGTCCATTTAATACTTTATCAAGCATACTCATTTGGGATGCTCATTTTTATGCAGTTCTTTTCACTAAAAATATTTTAAAGCTTGCCTTTTAAAAAAATACAAATATTTAATATATGGTGTTTATGCCTAGTATCTATAGATCTGTAGCCCTGGTTAATCTGTTAACAATATTTTTATTTTTTTCTGCTGATCCCCACCTACTGCTACTTTTTCTTTGATTGAGTACATTTTTTATTGAAAACTGCTTAGTTATTTATTATTTATAAAAACTCCTGGGGTTCAAAAATAAAGTTAATTTTTTCCAAGAATTACAAGCTTTAATTGAAGGCTATGGACACTACTCTTCTACAGCACTGTAAGTAAAATGTTGGAAGGAAGCTCAGAAAGATGTTACATAGATTTTAGGCTGAACACAGTGACCTTTTAACTGCTATAACACAGTCCAAGTGCAATAAAGAGCCACATATGTGTATAGATATGTATATGTACACATAATATACATGTATATAAAAGGTACATCTGATCACATTGCTTTTAACAGTTTGGGTTATTTTATTTACATAATTTAATATCAACTAGAGATAAATTTGAGATTATACCTTCCTAAAAACAGTTCTTTAGACACTCCAAGAAACGGAAAAATAAGAATGACAAATCAATTATGGTCAGGAGTTTATCTTCTTTCAAATGCAGCAATTCTGCCTTTAAAAAAAAAACTGCCTCAAGGCGTATACATCATATAATGTCACTCTGTAAAAACTGGAAAATCCTGTTGGAAAATCGATCACAGCATCATTTCCTTTTGAGCCTGGACACAACCCAAAAATCATTCAAAACATAGCAAAAAAGGCCATTACCAACAGATCATAATTTACATAAAAAAGGAAACCTATTTCCTTTGTTTAAAGTATTTTCAATTTTTTCTGCTTAAACTGACTGATACAAGAATGTTTCAGAAAAGAGTAAAACAAAAAGACCACAATGTTATAAGAATAGTTCATGAAAATAAAATTACTATGAGGTACCATCTTTTGATTTGTTTTAAGTAATTAGGAAACATCTCAATGTTAATTGTTTTATTTAACAAAAAAGAGCATACAAATAATAAAATCATATATAAACATGTATGCTTATATTTGCTATTTATATCTTTAACAAATATTGGATATTTCAAATTAACTCTCCCTAGAAAATTATAATGTTTTAAAAACATAACTTAAGGTTTGATGAAAGTCGAGTTTTTAATCTTATGGGAATTATGAATATTTTTATGCTGAAGCCTTTGTGGTTAAGAAATCTTGATGATAATATTACTTGTGAAAAACAATGAATACTGTTTTAGCCTTTTGTGTTTATAAACATGTATATATTAAATAATTACACTAATAAATAACATAAATGAGTGCATGGATTAATAGAAAAGTTGAATTGTTTGCCTGAGTCAATTTAGGAGATAATTTTATACACTAGTATCATAAATATTTGTGTAAAGTAGCACAGGTTCTCTGTGAGTGCAGATAGCTCTTCAACACACTGATTTCATTTCCTTTGGATGTATATATTCAGGAGTGGGACTGCTGGATTGTAATTTTTTAATTAAAAAATTAAAAGTTCTTTTTTTAATTTTTTGAGGAGCCTCCATATTGTTTTTCAGAATGGCCGTACTAACTTAGCTTCCCACCAACAGTCCTGTTTTCTCCACATCCTTAGCAACACTTGTTATCTTTCATCATTAGATAATAGTCATTCTATCAGGTGTGAGGTAATACCTCATTGTGGTTTTAATGTTCATGTCGCTGATGATTAGTGGTATCGAGCCTTTTTATTTAACATATACCAGTTGGCCATTTGTATGTCCTCTTTTGAGAAATGTTTACTCAGGTAATGTGTCCATTTTTAAATCAGATTGTTTTTCTACCACTGACTGGCTTGAGTTTTTGTATATTTTGTATCTTAACCCCTTATTGGATATATATATATGTAGAGAGAGAGAGAGAGAGAGATAGTTTGCAACTATATTCTCCCAACCAAAGATTCTATCTTTTGCTTTGTGGAAGCTTTTAGTTTGCTGTAACCTCAATCTCTTTTTCTCTTACTGTGGAAGTTGTAGCTAAGAGGATCCCTTTTGGCATTTGGTCTGGATTGCAGCCTGATCAAGGCAATGTTGTCTAATGATTGGTACCCATGGAATGATCAAACTAGTGATGCCTGAGCAGAGGCTTATGTAGAGGGACTTGCACTCTGGGATCGGGGCAAATATAGCACTGGTGCCTGGGGAGCAGGCATACCACTGCCCCATTGGTAGCTTGTGAAACAGCTAGGAGGCCAAGAACAGGAGTACATGCTTGCACAGATTTACAGTGGCTCTGGGGCTGGGGCAGGGCCTAGCTCTCTATGACGGCTAAGCTGGTGTCGGGAGCACAGGAATGAATTTGGCTCTGGGGCTCAGAATGTGAAACAGCTCATCATGGTGAGGATTCTGGTGTCTGAGACATAGTGCAGCCACAAATTCCAGGTCTGAAGTGTGAGCATTCAGGAAGTGGCCACAGCTTGGGTGTCGGGGCACATGTGTGGTTGGGAGAGATGGTGGCTCCATTTCCCTAGCAGTTCAAATAGCAGCTGCTTCTTCCAGGGAAGGGAGCGTTTAGTCACATCTTTGTGGGGTTCTCCAGCAGGAATTTGGCCATTCGTTACCTCAGTGGAAAAAGATCCCAGTGTCCTGGGCCGAGCAGTTTGCCTGGAACCAGGGTGGTTTCCACTTTCTGCTGATGCCAATAAATTCTGCCTTCTTTTTTCCTACTTCTCTCCTAGACTATCAGGTATGCCGATCTCACCAGTGATCCTTTCTATATGGATAGTCTCCATTTTTTTGCTTCATTATATTGCTGCAGATCCTTTAATGGGGCCCTCTTTGCATTGTTTTGATTTCTGGATAGCGGTTTCTATTTATTTATTTATTTATTTATTTAGAGATGGAGTCTCGCTCTGTCGCCCAGGCTGGAGTGCAGTGGCGCCATCTCGGCCCACTGCAAGCTCCGCCTCCCGGGTTCACGCCCTTCTCCTGTCTCAGCCTCCAGAGTAGCTGGGACTACAGGCACCCACCACCACACCTGGCTAATTTTTTTGTATTTTTAGTAGAGACAGAGTTTCATGGTGTTAGCCAGGATGGTCTCGATCTCCTGACCTTGCAATCCTCCTGCTTCGGCCTCCCAAAGTGCTGGGATTATAGGCGTGAGCCACCACACCTGGCTAGCTGTTTCTATTTTTAATGGTGGGGCTGAAGAATGGTATCTCCTACTCTGCTGTATTGGTAGCATCACTCTCATGATGTTTTGATGTACATATATATATTGCGAAATAATGAAATCAAGCTATTATATACTTAATTAACAGATCTTTATATACATATTATGTACTGGTATGGAGAGAATATTTTATTATTGACTATAGCCACGATGCTGTTCAATAGGTCTCCATAATTTTAAATAATAAAGTTCTCAAAGTTTTATACACATATGTTTTTTTCCCATGTTCATGCTTAGAACATTTATTGTTTCACAATAAATTTGTCTGTGTAATTTTACTTGAATGAAGAGCTTTGCTTTTGAAAATCTAAAATGACCACTTTTTTCAGTTATCAAAAATCAGTTCACGTTTGACAAAAAAAATTGTAATTTTGGGTAATAAATCTATATATCACAAAACTTTTTGAAATTAAGAAAAATTATTCAGCTTTCCTTATCAGTTATTTAAAACATACACAATCATTAATGCCACTTGTTAAAATTTTTAAATACATTAATAAGCTAATATATCTAATTAATATTAAAATATTTTGTCCAACCATCGAATATAATGTCCAGAAGAAACATCAGTTTTGACAAATCAAACATATTGTCACATAGGTCCAACATTTTCTTCCTTTGTTTAACTAATATTACCATAAAAACAAATATGTTTTAGATCATTGATTTGTTTAGTTACTATTTTGAATTAGTTTGCTATTAAATTGTAGTTTCCGAAAAACTAATAATTTTAATATGTACAGTCATGCACCACATACCCACGTTTTTGTCAATGATGCACCACATATAAGTCTCTGCTCCCATAAGATTATAATGGAACTGAAAAATTTCTATTGCCTGGTGACATTGTAGCTGCATTAGGTCATAGTGCAACACATTACTCCTGTGTTTGTGGTGATAATGATGTAAATGAACCTACTGTGCCACCAGTCTTATAAAGGTATAGCACATACAATTATGTGCAGTATGTAATATTTAATAATGATAACAACTATGTTACTGGTTTATGTATTTATTATACTGTACATTTTATTGTTATTTTGAGTGTACTCTTTCTACTTATAGATGTTAACTATAAAACCTCCCCAGGCATGTCCTTCAAGAGGTATTCCAGAAGTCATTGTTGTCATAGAGATGACTACTCCATGCGTGGTATTGCCTCTGGAGATGCAGAGGTAGAAGACAGGGATTTTTTTTTTTGTTTTTTTTAAATAGTAAATGAAATTTCTTGGAAGTTCAAAAAAAGATCTTTCAAATCTTTTCATCACAATAGAGTGGAAATCCGTCAGAAGACAGGGATATTGATGATCCTAACACAGTGTAGGCCTAAGCTAATATGTGTGTTTCTGTCTTACTTTTTAACAAAAATTTTAAAAAGTAAAATAAGTTAATTAATTAATTAAAGAATATAAAAAAGTCAATACAGTAAGAATATAAAGAAAGAAAATATATTTGTTCAGCACCACAATTGTGTGTTTTAAGCTAAGTGTTATAACAAAGGAATAAAATAGTAAAAAAAATTTAGCGAGAGAGTAAAAAAGTTGTAAGATTAATGTACTACTGAAAAAGGAAAAAATATTTTAAAAAATCTAGTGTAGTTTAAGGGCACCATGTTTTTGTTTTTTAACTTTTATTTTAGGTTTAGGGCACATGTGCAAGATTGTTATGTAGATAAAGTATGTGTCATGGGGATTTGGTGTATAGATATTTTAGTCACCCTGATAATAAGCATAGTACTCAATAGGTATTTTTTAAAACCTTCTTTCTCCTCCCATTCTCTACCCCGAAGTAGGCCCCAGTGTCTGTTGTTCTCTTTGTATCCATGTGTTTCCATTGTTTAGCTTCCATTTATAAGTAAGAAAATATGAAATTTGGTTTTTCATTTTTGACTTAGATCACTTAGGATAATGGTCTATAGCTCCATCCATGTTGCTGCAAAGGACATGCTTTCATTCTTTTTAATGACTGCATAGTATTTCATGTTGTATATGCACCAGATTTTTTTTATTCAGTCTGCCATTGATGAGCATTTAGGTTGATTCTATGTCTTTGCTGTTATGAATAGTGCTGCAATAAACATATACACGCATATGTCTTTATGTTAGAAATAATTATATTCTTTTGGGTATATACCCAATACTGGTATTGCTGGGTCAAAAGGTAGTTCTAAGTTCTTTGAGAAATCACCACACTGCTTTCCACAATGGCTGAACTAATTTACACTCCCACCAGCAGTATAAAAGCATTCCCTCTCCTCTGCAACCACTCCAGCATCTTTTAGTGTTTGACTTTTTAATGACGGCCATTCTAACCGGTATGAGATGGTATCTCATTGCGGTTTCGATTTGCTTTTCTCTGATTATTGGTGATATGGAGCATTGTTTTTTCATATACTTGTTGGCCACATGTATGTCTTCTTTTGAAAAGTGTCTGTTTTTTAATGGGGTTGTTTTTTTGTCTGTAAATTTAACTCCCTTATAGATTCTGGATAACTAAACCTTCCTCAGATGTATAGTTTGCAAGTATTTTCTCCCATTCTCTGGGTTGTCTGTTTACTCTGCTAATGTTTTCATTTTTCTTTTTTTTCCGTGCAGAAACTCTTTAGTTTAATTAGGTCCCAGTTGTCAATTTTTGTTTTTGTTGCAATTGTTTTTGGCGTCACCATGAAATTTTTGCAAGGTCCTATGTCCAGAATGGTATTTCCTAAGTTTTCTTTCAGGGTTTTTATAGTTCTGTATTTATATTATATTTAAGTATTTAATCCATCTTGGGTTGATTTTTGTGTATGGTATAACAAAAGGGTTCAGGTTCAATCTTCTGCATATGGTTAGCCTGTTATCCCAGCAGGATTTATTGAATAGGAAGTCTTTTCCCCGTTGCTCATTTTTGTTGGCTTTGTTGAAGATCTGATGGTTGTACGTGTGGCATTATTTCTGGGCTCTCTATTCTGTTCCACAGCGTGGAAGTAGCACCAGAGGACTAAGATCACGGGGGCCAAACTCCTGCCTGCCACAGGCACTTTTTTTTTTTTTTCTTTTTTTTTCTTTCAGATGGTCTCTTGCTCTTGTCGCCCAGGCTGGAGTGCAATGGTGCAATCTCGGCTCACTGCAATCTCCGCCTCCCGGGTTCAAGCGATTCTCCTGCCTCAGCCTCCTGAGTAGCTGGGATTCCAGGTGCCCACCACCATGCCTGGATAATTTTTGTATTTTTAGTAGAGATGGGGTTTCACATCTTGGCCAGGCTGGTGTTGAACTCCTGACCTCGTGATCCACCTGCCTCAGCCTAAGTGCTGGGATTACGGGCGTGAGCCACCATGTCTGGTCAGAAATATTTAGATATCAGAAAGCTTGTAGTTGTGTTTAGAGTAGAAAATTTTAAAAAGCTAAAAATTAAACTGTAAAAAAAGGTTAACATGGTTAACATACGAAAGCATATATTGTATCATGGTTTTGTAATGAGCTAATTTAGCAAAGTGAATTTCCGAATTACATTTTTTCAGAATTTCTTTTTTCTGGTTAGAGTGGGCCACAAAAGACATTTTTAAAAGGTTTTGAAGAGTGGACAGGAAGCAGTCATTTTGTAGTACACAATGTTTTGCTTATCATATCTTTGGTGTAAAACAATACCTGAGACAGCAATTGCTTTTTTTTTTGTGGTATTAAAAGTATTATTTCATACTGGAGTCCTTCAAATCCATGTTGTGGCAAAATCAGGACAAATGTAAAATATCTTACAATACATAAAATTCTCCAAACTTAACAAAAATTACAGTAAAATTAACATATTAATTACAGGCAATTTATCGCACAAGTAATATAAAATTAAAAGATGAGAAAAGGTAGCATTAGTCTTCTAAGATCCTGTTTATTCTATGCATCTAAAGTTCACAGGTCCAGGTTACATAACTGCAGTTGGCAGCAGATCCTCCAGTTTGGTTTTGGATAATCTCAAACAAACAACCCACAAATGCCACTCTGGTAACACAACAGCTCGTAATACCCCTCTGACCTCTGATACAACACACGCTGACCAAGATAACAAGAATTTGGGAAATAGTAAACAGAAGAATGATTTCTTGTAGAGAGAGAGTGATTTTCAATAATATGCACATAGCACAGGTGTTGAAAAAACTATGACACTTGTTAAAGTGGTAAATCAGACTTTACTCAGAACTATGATGATAGCTGTAGGAACTACTGCCATGGGATTTTGCAGTAATGAAGAGAGATTAGACTCAACTCTGAATACATTACAGAAAAGTGGAAATTTGTATTCAGGGTAGGGGTAACTAAAAAGTCAATGCATTTCATGATATAACTGATCTTATAAAATGAATATGATTATATCAATAGATGCAGAAAAATATCTGACAATATTTGATATCCATTGATGGCAAAAACTGAGCAAATGAGAACGCAAAATAAACATTCAATTAGTGTGAAAAATCTATAAATAATCTATAGCTGATATCATATATAATGGGGAAAGATAAAGTGTTGTTTTCCCTGACAGGCAAGGATTTCTCTCACCACTCTTATTTATTACCATACTGAAAGTTCTATCACAGGCAGTAAGTCAAGAAATAGAAATCAAAGTATTCAGATTGTAAAGGAATAAATAAATAAAATGATGCCTATTCACAGAAAACATAATTGTCAATATAGAAAATTTTAAGAGCATCTATTTAAGCAATATCTTGGAAGAAATAACTAAATTGAGCAATGTCACAAGACATAAGATCAATATACACAATACTGTCATCTTTCTGTTAACTAGTAATGAAGAATAAAAACAAAAACATAATGTGTCATCATTTCATGAGCTCTGCTCCATGAGAAAGTAATCTTAAGTAAATATGTACAGAAAATATATGCTAAAATTTTTAAATTATTGGTGAAATATATGAAAGAAATAGAAATAATTATAAAGACATATCATATTAATGAATTTGGAAGACTCAAAATGATTAAGATGACAAACATACCAAACTGATTTATAGACTTAACAGAACACCAATCAAAGTCACAATAGGATTCTTCATAAAAATAGACAAGTTGATTCTCAAATTCATATGAATAAGTAAATGGAACTATACTTTCCAAAATAATTTTATAAAAGAACAGATTTAGAGTACCTACGATGTCATGGATGTATTGTGTCCCACCCACTTTCTCTCCCAGCTCACAAAATATTAAGAGTCCTAACTCCCAGTACATCAGAATATGATCTTATTTGGAGACAAAGTCTTTATAGAGGTGGTCAAGTTAACATTAGATGAGTAGTCTGTGCCCTAAACCAATATGACCAGCATCCTGATAAAAAGAGAACATTTGGACACAGAGGAAATTCACAGAGGGAAGATGATGTAAACAGATAACAGAAGACAGTCATCTGATGTAAACAGATAACAGAAGACAGTCATCTGCAAGCCAAAGAGAGAAACCTGGAACAGATCTTTTCCTCGTAGCCCACATAAGAAAGCAACCCTGCTGACATTTTGATTTCAGATTTCTAGTCCCTAGAACTGTGAGATAATAAATGTCTGTAACCTCAACCCAACCACTCAGTTTGTGGTATGGTGTTATAGCAACCACAGCAAACTAATACACATAGCCATTGATTTTAAGAGTTATTATTAATCTAAATTAAGAAAGCCAGTTTAGTATAATCGAATGACCAATGAAACAAAGACCAAAGAAACAACAGAAAATCCATACATAGGCAGACACAAACAAAATTAGCTGATTTTTTACAAAAATGCAACAGCAACAATGTAGAAAATATAGTCTTTCATCAAACGGCCTAGGGACAAGGGTGTATCCATATTTTTTGTAAAGACAAAGAAAGGGTGGGGAGGGGAAGGTGGAGGGAAAGGGAGAAGAAGTAGTAGAAGCAGCAGTCAACCTTCTCTTCACACCATATAAATCACTAATTCAAAATGTGTTACAGAAGTAAATATAAAACACAATCATAACACACTTAGGAGAAAAGCTTTGTGATCTTGGATTAGACAAAGTGTTTTAGAACTGATATCAAGTACATTAGACTTCATTAAAATTAAAAATGTTTTTCTGCAAAGGATATAATTAAGAGACTGAAAGAGACTACTTGCAGATGACATAGAAGACAAAGGATTTGTATTCAGAATGCATAAAAATGATCAGAACTCAGTAGTAAGAAAACAATCATATAAAAATTTGCAAATGATGTGAATAGACACTTCACCAAAAAACATCCACAAGTTACAAATAAACATATTAAAAGATGCTGAATATCACCAGTAACTGGAAAAATGAACATTAAAACCATGGTGAGAAACAACTAAACACCTATGAGACAGCTAAAACTTTTTTTAAAAAGAATAATAATGACAAAAGCAAGTGTTCGCTGGCCCAGGGAGCAATGGGATTACTCAAACATTGCTGCCAGGGATGCAAATTGGACAGCCACACAGCAAAACAGTTTGGCAGCTTCCTACAAGGCTAAACATACACATACATTATGACCCAACAATCATGCTTCTGGTATTTATCCTAGACAAATAAAAACTGATAATTACGCAAAAATCTGTACACAAATGTGTAGCAGCATTCAACACATTGCCCCAAAACAAAAACAACCCAAATGGCCTTTCAGGAGATAAACTGTGATGCATTCACATTCAGCAATAAAGAGAAATGAACTAATGTTTTATGTAACAAGGATGGATCTCCAGTGAATTATGGTAAGTGGGCAAACTCAATCTCAAAATATTACATACTCTCTGATTTCATATTTACAGCATTTGAGAGAAGTCAAAAATATCAGAACTAGAACAGACTAGTTGTTACTATGGTTTGGAAGATAAAATAAAGTTTGAATACAATGAAACAGCATGACAGAATTCTTTGGAGCATTAGAATTATTTTGTATAATTTTTGTTGTAACAATTACAATAATATAATTATTACAATAACATAATTATGCATCAAAGCTCATAGAACTATATACCAAAATAGCATGAATTTACTTTAAGAAACTTAAAAATTTTAATTTTTTACTGGTAAAAGAATTGAGGAAATCAAAAGCTTTAATACATTTTAATGTTAAATTTAACTTTAATTAAAAATAACAAATTTCAACAATTTTAACATTTTATTCAATGTGTCTTCATGCTCTCCATAGGTCAATGTATGTTAGCAATTAAACCTTGCAGACTTTGTGTGGATAATTACTCATCCTTTCAGAAATTTATTTGTAGTATCATTACATTTAACATGCTGAAAGGAATTTTCTGTTGTCACTTTCCTGGGAAAAAAGTTTTGGGTTGATACAAAGTGCAATTTTTTATTTTCCTGTCAAAAGGTTAGACAATATTTTTAAGTGATTAAGAAGTCACTTTCTAAAAATTAAATATAAAATATTACAGTTCAAACACAACAGAAGCATTTGTTCTTAATGTACACTTTGTGGTCAAGTAACGTCCCTTCCTTTCACAACAACTGCATTCTAATCTTGAAACTCAGGTTTGGATAAATTGTACTTATTTCCTCACAGTATGATGCTATGGTTAAACTATGAAATCATTTAAATATAGTGTTAAGCCCAGTAGAGTGATTTTTTTGCATTGTTAAATCTGAAACAGGGAACTATAGTCATGTATTTATTTGTTACTGGGATATATTTTGCATATTGAAGTAAATAATACCAGATTGTCAAACAAAAATAAAATGCATTGTGTTGTTCATCTTCTAAATACTAATGAATGCCAACTTGTATTCTAATTATCCCTCTAAGGGGAAGTCTATTGATCAAGAAAAGGCTGGATTCAAGAAAAAAGAATCCCAAGGCAGTAATTCTATGCTAGTCGTAAAGCAAATTATAATCAAACACATGATGGTTTGTTCTTTTACAAACACAAGTTTTAATATATTGAAATTCATAACAATGGATTTATTTTAAAGTAAGTTCTGTTTACAGAAATGTTTAACTTTTGTGAAAGACACGTAAGAAGTAGTCAGTTTGGAGCATATGTCTACCAGATGACTTACTTCTGGTTAAATGTGATTAATATTAGATGCTCTTTTACTATTTATTATACTGTCCTCAAAAATGAGTTAATATCCACTATATTACTGAAAAGTGATAAAAATATAGGAAGTTAATATATTACTTTGTTCCTTCAATAAATATTTCTTGATCACTTTCCATTGGTCAGACCCTGTCCAAATACAAGCAAACAAAACCAGTAAAATCACTTGACATCTTTGGGCTAACATTCTAGCAGAGGTCAAAAGACAATTTTTAAAAAATCAAATAACTAAGAAAACCATAGCAATGCTACAAAATAATAAGTTCCAACAGAAAATAAATTATAACAAGTTAATGAAAATTGGGAGGAATGTGATTATACCTTTAAAAAAGGTTGATGACTTTGAATATATGCCCCTGCCAACTCTCATGTTAAATTGCAATCCCCAGTGTTGGAACTGGGGCCTGGTGGGAGGTATTTGGGTCATGGGAGCATATCCCTCATGGCTTGGTGCTGTCCTTGCAATAGTGAATGAGTTCTTATGAGATTAAGTTGTTTAAGCATGTGGTACCTCCCTTCCTCACTTTTTTACTGTTGCTCCTGCTGTGGCTCTGTGACATGCCTGTTCCTGCTTACCTTCCCCAGGGAATAAAAGCTCCCAGAAGCTGAGTAGATGCCAGCACTATGCTTCCTGTACAGCCTGCAAAATCAGCCAATTAAACCACATTTCTCTATAAATTATGCAGTCTGAAGTGTTTCTTTTTTCTTTTTTTTTTTTTTTTTTTTTTTGAGATGGAGTCTTGCTCTGTCACCTAGGCTGAAGTGCAGTGGTGCGATCTCGACTCACTGCAACCTCCGCCTCCCAGGTTCACGCCATTCTCCTGCCTCAGCCTCCCGAGTAGCTGGGACTACAGGCGCCTGCCACCACACCCGGCTAATTTTTTGTATTTTTAGTAGGGACGGGGTTTCACTGAGTTAGCCATGATGGTCTTGATCTCCTGACCTCGTGATCCACCCACCTTGGCCTCCCAAAGTGCTGGGATTACAGGCGTGAGCCACCGTACGCTGCAATGCAAGGACGGCCTAACACAGAGGTGGTTATGATTGACATCACTGTGAAGATGATATCTGAGAAAATTCTTGAAGAATGTAACACAGTCAAGGTTGCAGGGAACCTAAAATTGGATTTGATTTGAAAATATTGGAAAGCTAATACCCAAGCCACTAATCCCTTTATAAATCTTGGGCCCAGACTAGTATCCGACACATAAAAGATTGTTGAAGAAAACAGTATTTGAATGCAAGTACATTATTTAAACAAATTTATATTTTTGAGAAATCCTGAAATTAGAATTGAAGTTTACTTTATAGATTTGCATTCCTATGAATCTTGTGACACATAAGAGAGCGTCCTGGGCAAACAAGCCAGCTGTATATGGAATTCTTAGATGCTAGAGTTGTGCACCATTCCAGGGAAGTCATATCACAAATCCTGTGATTTGGGACTATACTAAGCAGAGTGTTTGCGATAGCATTGGCAAAATTTCTCTCTGACACTTTGCCTTCTAACAGGAAACCTCAAAAAGATAAAGCTTATTGAATATATAAGGCAGTGATGCAGAGGAACCTTGGGACAAAAGAATTAAGGTGATGCCCAGAAACAATAAATATGATTTTTCTCAGTAGCAGAATTTCATTCACTCATAAAATAGAAGCCTCTGGAATAACTTCATCCTATACTGTATCTTTTTTAAATGGTATAAGAATTTTGTCAAAAAGAAAACAAAAAATTAACAATGTCATTTGTTTTCATTTCTCAGATGCCTCCAGATCACTACATGGACATTGAGATATTCAATATATGAAGGAAGAATTTTTACAGCATTCAGGTAGAAACTGAGATTTTGCTGGACTAGTCATGTTGATCTCGGGACAAATACAGGAAATGCTATTTATTTAAAGATAAACATTACTCAATAAAAGGTCTAAAAATAAAATGTAGTATAACAAAACACATAGCATTCAGGACCTGGTAAATAAAAAATTTATTGTAGAAATTCATTTAAATTTTTCCTCAATTCAAACTGTATTTCAGAAAATACTGGGCTCTTTTATATCCCTTCTTTTATGAAGGTACCAAGATGCATATTGCTGTTGCATACACCGTGAGATATATGCTTCCATCTTTGCTTTTTAGAATCCACTGGGACAAGCTATAGGATAAACCCTCCTTGACACTGCCACACTATCCCTTCTGCCTTCAAAGGATTATCACAGCATTTATGGTATGCACACATAGATTTTATTTCTACATTATTAGTGTTTTTCAGGTCTTCTAAGTAGAAAATTACAACTTAAAATAATCAAGCTATAGTCTTCTTAGCTAATTTGATTTTGTCTTTATTGCTAGAGAGACTTAAAAATTTTTAGGCTTCAACAACCCTATCTGTCCCCTAACTGGCTTAGTTACCCTAAATTCATAACACCAAGTATCCTAGGCAGGTCTGCATTGCATAGTCATCTTCACATTTTAGGCACCTAAAGAAGAGGGAAATTTTTAAAGATCAGAGAGCAAATACATTTTGGATGTAGTTTCACATATATTACACATATGAAAAAAGCACATGAATATATATGTGTATATACATTGTCTTTTGTGCAAAATTAGAAATCTGTAGGATTTCCATAGATATTTCTTATTATATGTTTAACACATGTGGTAGTGTAATCCTAACCTTGTCCATTCTTATAGCCTCAATAAAAACTAAATCATTTCCCCTGAAAGAAAAACTCAGCTCAAATACTGAATAAGAATCATGCATATTTTTTTTCAGATTTTCTTTTAGGTTTTCACTTAATTTAAACAGTAGGACTGTGTGGCTGACTTGCCACTGCTACTACTTGAGACAGTCACTACAGCGGTTACTTAATGTTACTGCTTGAGACTGTCATTACAAGACTGAACAAAAGGATGAATGTAGAAATAAAAACTTAAGACAAAAGAAACTGTTTTAAGGAAAGGCTAGCATGGGGAAGAAGAGAGCTCCCTACTTCTAGTGAGCAAAGGCAGCCCCCCATCAAGCTTCTGCAGCCCTTTGTTATTTATTAGGTAACAAGAGCAAGGAGCAGGAGGTAACGATTGGTCAGCTGCTTTAGGTTCATATTGTTACTGACAGGCTTCAATTACACCTAATCATAAGAAACATTTGTGCTGCCTCCAACAGGACTGCTGGTTTATTTTCTATTCTACATATGTAAGTGTGAACATCACCAAAGGTATACATAGCTAAGTTGTGAAGGAGAGCAGTTACAAAGCATATAATGTAAAAGTATTTCTCTTACAACCAGGATCTGTAATTGCTCTCAGAGACATGAGCTGCTATGTTGAGAAGATGCTGGTAGTTTTCTGATCAACTCCTGAAGTTGTGGTCCTCACAATGATCCACATTCACTTTATTTAACTTTTTGTGAACATTAAAGTCTTTATGTGTGTATGTGTGTGCATGTGCATGTGCATGTACACACATGGATATGGTTTAAAAGTTTATAAAGGTTAAAAATATTTATAAAACATATATGAGTGTAACCATCTTTTAAAAAAGAGTACCAGAAATTTAGAAACCCTTTATAGATATACATAAAGCTCATAATCTATTATTCTAGTTTTTTGATAAAACTGATTATTTTATATTGTCTTGACTATATATTAGATTGTTATAAATATATTTCATTATAATTGTACATGTTTCATATCACATTATCCTATTTAATTCATCCTCTTTGTCAAGTGCCTTTATAATCTATCACAACAGAAGAAGTAGAATCAGGGCAATGATAAAGGTAAAGCAAGTGAGGTTTCCTCCATTCTTTTCAGGACAATATGTAAAGGGAAACCAAAAAACTAAATAATTAAATTATATTTTACTATAATATTTGAAAATAACCAACTTTAATGCAATAAATTCATGGTACAAAAACATCAAAATTCTAAACAAAACCAGATTGCACCCTGCACTTACCCAACTTTACCTTACTGGCTTTGTCCTAATTTGGGCCCTAGGTAGAGAATATTTTTATTCCCAGATGCTAGGATTGAATGTGTCTCCCAAAGTTCATTTGTTGGAAACTTAATCCCTAATGCAGCAGTGTTGGGAGGTGGGGCCTATTGAGAGGTATTTAGGTCATGAGGGTGTCACTCTCATGAATGGGTTAATGCCAATTACAAAAAGGGCTTGAGGCTATGAGTTTGATACCCCTCTCTCTCTCTATACACACACACACACACACACACACACACACACACACACACCCCTCATCTCACTATCTGTCATGATTGACACAGCAAGAAGGCCCTCACTAGGTGCCCACACCTTGACAATGAACTTCGCAGCCTCCGGAACCGTGATATAAACTTTTCTTTATAAATTATCCATCATGTGATATTCTCTTGCAGCAACACATGACTCAAAAAGTTGTCCATTGATGTTGATATTATCTTCATGACTTGCTTTGACAAGCAGAATATTAGCATACATAAAGCAAAGAAAGCCTTTCGATGTGATTGTGTAATTTGGCTGGACCTCTTGTATTCTATGATTCTAGATGACAAGAAGATCCCTGGAGATCAGTTGGTTCTAACATATAAATACAAAAGAAACAGAAAAATGAGACCAATTATTTGGGATCACAATCAAGATCAAGGCCAAGCTGGGCCAAGATGACCTGCACCCTAGTAGAAGGTCTACCAACCTTTAGACCCTTGAACAAACCGATGCATAAATTTATTGTAAAGGCACATAAAACTTGTAGTTTATTTAACAATTTTATAATAATACTTGAGGTGTGTAGGAATGAACCTCAAATATAGTTTTGTATATTTCACAGTGTATATAAGCATCATGAAAATATAGTTTGTGAATGGAGTAGAAATAATGCATTGAAAATTACACAGCCATACAAACAAAAAGAGAAAACCAAAATGGAAGAACAAGTCAACATAAGGCATTGCAATGCTCAGCTGTCAATAATATTTAGATAAGCATAAAATATTCAAATCTTTTAAATAACTCTTGACTATAATTAGTTGAGTATATAAATAAATACATAAACCTAAATGTGTATATTCATGATTTATCAAAACACATTTATGTACCTACTAAATATATCAAGACATAAAACTTAAATGCCAGCCAAGAAAGCTTTTATACTTCTCCTCTTTCATTACAATCTCCCTTTTCTTATAAAGGCCATGATATCACCTGTGGCCATAATGTAGTATTTTTGATCATGTGTGAACTTTATATTAGAGGACTAATACACAGAAGTATTCTTGTTTGTTTTAAATTTACAATTCACCCATACTTTTGTTTTTAGCATTAGCTTGTACAATATATTTATTCACTAATATTGTTATTAATCCACTTTTAGATGTTCTTGCCTGTTGTGGTACTATTCTGAACATGGGCATAAATAACATTGAACATGTCCTTGGTCATGAATGTATGCTTGCATTTCTCTTTGATGTCAACATAGGATAAGAATTGATGGTACCTAGGGTCTTTGTTTATGCAACTTTGGTAGACATTGTCAAAGGAAACTCTCAACGTTAATTGTTTCCAAAAAGATGCCTAAACAATCTTTAAATTATCCTCTTTTTAAAATCATAGTTTTTCTTTATCCAATATTATTTTCTTATAGATCAAAAACTCATTCATTTTTATGTTCACAATTTCTAGCATGTATAAGGAGACTGAGTGAGAGGTGGGGTATTCTACATAAACAATTTTGTGGGAGAGTTAGTCATTTAGAAATTAGTCACTTAAGGCCAGGCACGGTGGCTCTCACCTGTAATCCCAGCACTTTGGGAGGCTGAGGCGGGCGGATCAGGAGGTCAGGGGATCTAGACCATCCTGGCTAACACAGTGAAACCGTGTCTCTACTAAAAAAAATACAAAAAAATTAGCCAGGCGTGGTGGTGGACGCCTGTAGTCCCAGCTACTCGGGAGGCTGAGGCAGGAGAATGGCATGAACCCGGGAGGCAGAGCTTGCAGTGAGCCGGGATCGCGCCACTGCACTCCAGCCTGGGCAACAAAGCAAGACTCGGTCTCAGAAAAAAAAAAAAAAAACAAAAAAAGAAATTAGTCATTTAAGACTTTAGCGTATGCTATTTTAAACCACACACCCATTATATGCTTAATAAATATTTGTTTAATAAAATATATTGAACAAGTTACATAGCACAAGCCCTCAACTTTATGATTGCATAAAGAGAACTAATAATAACTGCTCGATAAAGTTATGGTAAGGATTAAATATAATCTGTATAAAATTCCTGAAGTACTGCATGTATTGAGTTACTAGAATTTTAATGAATATTGATTTAAACTCAATGGCAATTGTATTTTTCTGTCTCACATAAATAATCCGTTTAGCCAAACAGAAATACAAGATAGAATAGCTTATTCAATTTCCTAATGCTAGATATTCTGAAAAAGACAATGTAAGACACATATTTGCATTGAATTGTAGCAAATGTAGTGTGTGTCTATATGCATATGTGTGTTTGTGTGTGTCTCTATATATAAAGTTGTGCCATTTACAGAATTCTGTAATTTACAAAATATTTACATAATCTGATGACTGCCTCAGTGCTCTGAGTTAATTTTACCATCTAGTATTTATTCTTAAAAATCAATGGGAATTTTTGTAGATAAAATCTTATCAGTCCAAAGTAGTCTTAATACTACTTAAAATAACAAAACCATCACCACCTCCCCCACACATCCACGCACACACACCACACTTTTTAAAATGAACATACGTTTTACTATAAATTATTTAAAAATATGTGCTTAACAATATTAAAATGTGAACAAAAATGTTTTTCAAAAACGAATTTTCTATGAAGATATACAACACATAAGACATATATTCAAAGTTAGAAAAAAGAAACAAAGAACAAAATACAAAAAAAAAAACAAGAAATCAAGTCAACGTAAGCACCTTCTCAAATAACAAAAAACCTAAACTCATTAGTAAAGAACAAATAGACTAACAAAGCCTTCACAGCAAATTATTGAAAATAAATAAATGTGACATAGGAAAACATAACCTAACACAATGCTAGCAAGCCTCTGAGAAAATTTTACATGAGTATTTCTTGTACAAAGGTAAATTTAATGAATTTTTAATGTAATCAGTTGAATCTATTAAAATTAAAATACTATGAGACATTTGTCTTAATTCTTAGAATCTTTTCCAGATAGATAGATAGATAGGTAGGTAGGTAGGTAGATTTACACACACATACATGTATTTGTATGTGTGTTAAATATAGATATATATGAGAAAGATTCTAAAAATTAAGAAGTATTTATGTAAATGTTATCTAAATAAGAACAAATAGGAAATAAAGGACCTTGCAAAATCACTAAAACATATGAAATAAATTTATTTGTCATATTATTGATGTCTCTTATATATAAATACACGATGTATTTGTACTCAATTACCTATTTTATTGATGCTGAAAATCACCATTTTAATATCCAAAATTCACAAATTATAGGCAAACTTGTCAAAAGAAAATGTTCAGAAAATAATTTATATGAATACTAAGTGTCAATCTAAGTGTCTACCAATCATGAATGGATAAAGAAAATGTGGTATACATACACCATCAAAACTACTAAGATGATAAAAGAATGGAATAGTGTCTTTTGCAATAACTTGGATGGAGCTGGAGGCCACATTTCTAAGTGAAGTAAACTCAAGAATGGAAAACCATATATTCTCTTATAAGTGGGAGCTAAGCTACAGGAACGAAAAGACAGACAGTGTGATATAATGAACTTTGGAGATTCAAAGGGGGAAGGATGAGAGAAAAGTGAGGGTTAAAAAACTAAATGTTGGGTTCAATGTACGCTACTTGGGTGAAAGCCGCACTGAAACCTCAGACTTAACCCTGTTCAATTCATTCATGTGACCCAAAACCACTTGGAGCCCAAAAGCTATGGAAATATATTTGTTAACAGTTTTTTCTTCTTTTGTGATCTTATGTAAGGCAAAAAAACCTTATTTATTTTATCAATATATAAATTGTATATTATATAAATATAATGCATACAAAATAATATATCATTATTTATATAATAAAAAAATTTGCCTTGCCGAAGGTCACAAAAAAGAAAGCACCTTTGACAAACTGAAGATAGTTTCAGTAACACCTATTTGAGTCAATTACACACATACATACATATAGGATATCATATAAAAAGATAGTTATATAGATTAATAATTTTTCAGTGATAACATCTTTTAAAACAAACCAATATTTGCCAAAAAAATTGGCAAAACTTAGTATTATTATTTGAGTAATAAAGAGCTTCATAGAGTTGTTATGAGGTAACAAAATATATGTAACACAGTATAAGGTGTTGCTCCTATAAATCATAGCTCTATTTTATGTTATTGTTTAATAGATATTTATTTTATTCCCCTCTTAATATACTGAAAATTGAATTTGATATTAAAGATTTGTTTTCTAAAACAGTGTTTTTAAATTTCCCCCATCTCCTTCTTATTTTGTAACATTTTATCTTTCTTACCCACCTGACGTAATATTTCCCTTTTTTTGCTGATCAAGTCCACCGTATGGAGTTCAGCAGTCTTCTGTAGGAATTAATCAGGGCCCACTAGAGTTACTCACTTTCTGTCTATCAACTATGAAATGATAATAATATATTTATGTCTTAGACTCTCAACTCCTAAATCTATATTAATCTCTAGTATTTGCTTCCAATTAGGTGAATTTGTCCTCAACTGCTTATGTAAGGGCTCCACATAGATATATCATCATGATTTTACACTCGTCCTGCCAAATGTAAGTGATGTCTTAATTCTGATCCTATTTTTATTAGGATTCTGACCCTTACTCATGCTGTATAGTGGTATCAAGATTACTGAGAAGGCTTGCAGAGGCAATTATTTGTAAGGGATGACAATGTCTGTATAATGTTAGAAGAACTTTATTACTTTATTGTGCAGATTTAATGTTATGAGGCTTGTAACAACAGAATGCATTTGCTTTATTTTCAATAATATATTCTAACAGTCTGTAGAATTGGTAGTGAACATTTATGGTTAGTATTTCTAATATGAAACTAACAATTATTAACTATCTTGACTATAGCCCTTTAGGATTAGATGGCTCTGAAATAATCATACCTGCCATATATCTTTTGCCTCATAAAAAACAGTCACTAAGATTTTAAGAGGAACATTTTATAATTTTATAGTTGATTATAGTATATGCCAATATCATGGTACAAAGAGAAAATGATTAAAATATTCAAATGTGTTCAGCTATAACTCTGAAAAATTAATATATAGAAAAAATTAAATGCACATGTATTGTCAAAAGTATTTACAGTCACAAGGATAAAACATTTTATTGTAATTGTGAAAAAAAACAAGACTTAACTGAAGAATCATAGTACTAACACACAGCATGACTCTCTAGAGAAAATTATTCTTATCTTTTTCTTTCTTTCTTGTTTCTACTTACCATGAGCCAATGGTAAATCTTAAAGACTTTCTCTGAGAAATCTGTACTTTCTTTGCCACAGTTTCTGTACACTTCTTACACTATGAAAGATCCACTTATAGTCAGGGCAGTGGGGGAATGCCACAGGTGGTTGGGATGGTTCCTTGAAATTTTGTTTCCAGATATTATCTTTTCCTCTTAACTATACCCTTTCTATTATTCTCATTAGTGCTAATTACTTGGTATTATGACAATCCCATATCAACCTTCTGTGAATTCAAATTTCTTCTCAAACAATATTGATGCAACTCTTATTGAGCATTTTAATAATATAAAGAGCACAGAATTATGTTATTTTGATGTGTAGGGGATTATTTTATTCTGTTTTAGGACCAGAAAAAAAAATGTTAGGAGAAAATGTCTGAGCCAAAAAATTAGATGGCATATTAGGAAAAACATTTATTCTCATCCTCAAGGCCTGAAACTAAACACCAAGGCTCTTTGCAGTCATCTTTTATTTTCTGCTACCTTCTTAAAAGTATGATTTTTCTGTCTCATTTTTTCTCCCTTCATTAGCTATTATTCTCTCTCACTATGAACTGTAGGTTGTTTGCCTGAGTTCAGTAAATCACATATGAAATTCTTCAAAGCAATTGACATTTTGGTAAATTTTCTTTTTTCCTTTATAAAAATTCTTCCTGTTGCACAGAAACCTAGTTTATACAAGGTCTAATTCATTTCTATAGTATCAGAATTTTAATTTGGAACCAGAGTTGTAGATGTATTGTCATCCCAAATTTAACAGAGAACATATAATTGAATCCAAAAAATTCAGGTGATGTGGTGATCTCTCTGAATATGAAGGAAACTTTTAATATGAATGAGAAAACACAAAAGACTGGAATTTGAGTTATAGCCAGTTGTAGATGTTTAAACTGCTTTCTTCCTTGGAGACCTAATGAAGTAGGTGGAATTGCTTTGTTGGTATTCATGGTCTTTAGTCCATGAGCATTGAAAGTAACAAAGTATAAAAAAAAGCACTGTCCTAAGATATGTCTTTATGATGCTGGAAGCACTATTTCTTTCTGTTACTTAAAAACTAACTACTTTAGCAGGCTATCAGTAACAACAGCTAAAAAACTTGAAATGTCACTGACTGCTCCTACACCAGGAACTGTTTAAGACTTATATTGTCTCAAAGGTTAATGTGTCTAATATTTTTGTTAATGACAAAAAATTACATAACACATTGTAGTTTACCATAGTTTCAAATATTTTACCATAAAATTGATATCACCTTAAGAGTCAAGATTCAAATTAAGAGATTTGTAAAGTTCTAATGTGAGGATTATAAAGTTTAAGCATATTATTTGGTATGAAATATAAGTGGTATTTTTAAAAGGTGTGTTTTAGCCTAGTAGATTACTAAAAACATTTCAAAGATATGACAGCAAACTTGTAAAAATTTATTTTATATATTTTTATGTGTAATAGTACTGTTCATATTTTACACTATGTTCATGAATTACATTTCTAGAAATATAAAAGTAGATATTTAAACTTTAATGTATTTGAAAAGCGATTATGGCCTAAACACATAATAAATTAAAGAGACTTAATTACTTCTGTGTATATATAAGCATAGATCAAACTTACAGCGTTTTCTTTTATCTCCTGAAGTCTGAACTAATATAAAAATAAGGCCTAAAGTTCTCAAATAGAGACCACAGTACTGTATTACATTATTGATATGTGGCTTATATGTGAACGCAACTGGGGTGCCAAGACCTAAATATCTGCCCCTGGTAGACAAATTCTCCCAAATGCAGCCAGTGTAACACAATTGCAAACCCATGTACCTCGTGGTGACCTGCCCTTTGTGAAAAATATGTAAGACAAACTGAAAATGTGCTTGTTCTTTCAGCCTGTAGCCAAGAAAAGAGAGAAAGAATCAGACTTACATAGTTTATCTTTCCCAAATTTATCAATCAATAAAGCCACTATTTTACAGCAAGGGACATATGAGGAAACAGATACAGGAATTAGGAGTACAAGTGTATATCCCAGAGGAGAAAATCCGCAGTTTTATAGTTCTCCATCCCCCATTAACTCTTATTGTTCTTTTATGTAGCCTCTTGGGATCCCTGATTTGCAGTGTAGAATTTTACATAAGAGACAAACCAAACATGGTCATGAGTTAATTTAAAAACTTTACCCTAAGGCTATTTGGCTGCCAAGGCTGGCATTTAATTCACTATTCAATTGTCCAACCCGAAACACATTCGACTATAATAGTCCACCATGAATCAAAGGTTCTACAATGACATCGAACGTATAAAGTTATGTAAAAAATCACAAACACAAAGATGTCCCATATTTTAGTGTAAATCTTTTGTAACTAAAAGATTTGCATGTGTGTGTTTATTCAGGGAGAAATTACATCTTACTTTTAAATCCACTTAACAATTCAAATCCAAAGAGTCAATTTCTCCAACCAAATTCTGTTTTATTTGGTGAATAAAAAGTGCTATAAATTTAGACTTATCCTTATATTATTTTATTCTGCTCAGTCTCAGTCTGTGAAGGCTTAGATAAAGAATTCCTGCAGTAAATGTGCCCTGACATTCTTTCT